>NC_000005.10:94655261-94958291 GCF_000001405.40 Homo sapiens
TGGATTCTCTGTTCTTCACTGGTCTATATGTCTGTTTTTATACCAGTACCATGCTGTTTGGGTTACTATAGCTTTGTGGTATACTTTGAAGTCAAGTAGTGTGTGCCTCCAGCTCAGCATTGCTTTGGGTATTTATAGTCCTTCTTGCTCAGCATTGCTTTGGGTATTTAGGGTCTTTTGCAGTTGTTTACAAATTTTAGGATTGTTTTTCCTGTTTCACAGAAGAATGTCATTGATATTTTGATAGGGATTCCATTAAATTTGTAGATTACTTTGGGCAATTTGGTTATTTTAACCATATTCTTCAAACTCATAAACATGGAATGTCTTTCCATTTGTTTGTGTCCATGTCGATTTCTTTCATCAGTGTTTTTTCGTTTTTTCCTTGTAGAGATCTTTCACCTCCTTGGTTAAATATATTCCTAGGTATTTTATAATTTTTAGAGCTCTTCTAAATGGGATTGCTTCTGTGATTGATTTATAGCTAGTTCATTATTGGCATATAGAAATGCTACTGATTTTTGAATGTTAACTTTTTATCTCACAGCTTTACTGAATTCATTTATCAGTTTTAAGTGATTTTTTTTTTGTCAAGTCTTCATGTTTTTCTACATATGAGATCATGTCGTCTCCAGAGAGGGACAATTTTACTTTTCCAATTTGGATGCCTTTTCTTTCTTTTCCTTGCCTGATTGCTCTGGTGAGGATGACTTTCAGTATTAGGTTGAATAAAAGTTGTAAAAGTAGGCATTCTTTTCTAGTTTCAGTCCTTAGGGAATGGCTTTCATGGTTTTCCCATTTCACATAAGGTAGCTATAGGTTTGTCATGTATGACCTTTGTTATGTTGAAGTACTTCTGTGCCTAGTTGGTTGAGAGTTTTCATCATGAAGGGATGTTGAAGAAATTTTATTAAAAGCTTTTTTGCATATATTGAAATGATCATATAGTTTTTGTCCTTCATTTTGTTTTTATTAATTTACTTATTTGTGTATGTTGAACCATCCTTGCATCCTTGGGATAAATCATAGTGTACACTTGATCATAGTGTATTGACTATGACAATACACTATGATCAATACACTTGATCATAGTGTACTGACTCTTTGCTATGTTGTTGGATTTAGTTTGCTAGCATTTTGTTAAGGATTTTTGCATCTGCTTTTCTCAGGGATATTGCCCTGTAGTTTTCTTTTTGTGTTGTGTCTTTGTCTGGTTTTGGTATCAGGGTAATGGTGGCCTTGTAGAACGAGTTAGGTAGAATTCCCTACCCTTCAGTTTTTTTGAAACAGTTTAAAAAGTGCTGTTGATAGTTCTTTATACATTTGGTTGAATTCAGCAATAAAGTCTTTTGGTCCTCGGCTTTTTATTTGTTGTGAGAGTTTTATTACTGATTAAATCTCATTGGTCTGTTCAGGTTTTCTGTTTCTTTCTGATTCAGTCTTGGTAGGTTATATGTGTCCAGGAATTTATCCATTTCCCCTAAGTTTTCTGATTCGTTGGTGTATAGTTCATAATAGTCTCTAATATTCTTTTGTGTTTCTGTGATATCAATTATAATGTGTCCTTTTTCACTTCTGATTTTATTTATTTGGGGTTTTTTCTTTTTTGTCTTTGTTAGTCTTGCTAATGGCTTATTGATTTTGTTTAACTTTTAAAAAAAATTAACTTATTTGTTTCATTGATCTTATGTGTTTTTAAGTCTATTTTGTTTCGTTCTGCTCTTTATTATTTATTTAAAATTTATTTATATATCTTTAATAAATATTTATTAATTTATAATTAATCTAAATAATAATAGATCTTTATTATTTCCTTCTACTAATTTGGGGTTTGGTTTGTTCTTGCTCTTCTTCTTCCTTGAGGTGCATTGTTAAGTTGATTATTTGAGATCTTTCTACTTTTTAGATATTAGGCATTTTTTCTATAAATGTGCCTTTTAGCACTGCTTTTGCTGTATTCTATAGGTTTTGGTATGTTGTGTTTCCATTTTTATTTATTATAAGAAATGTTTTATTTCCTTCTCAATTACTTCATTGATCCAATGGTCGTTTAGGAACATGTGATTTTATTTACGTGTATTTGTACAGTTTCCAAAGTTTTTCTTACTGATTTTTAGTTTTATTCCATTGTTGTCTGAGAAAGATATTTGATATGACTTCAGATCTTTTCAAATGTGTTGAGATTTGTTGTGTGGCCTAATGTCTGTCCGGAAGAATGTCCCATATACTAATGAGAAGAATGTGTATTCTGAAGCTGTTAGATAAAATGTTCTCTAAATGTCTGTTAGGTTCATTTGTTCTAAAGTGCAGTTTAAATCCAATGTCTGTTTTTTGATTTTCTGTTTCGATAATCTGTCCAATGCTTAGAATGGGGTATTAGAGTCCCCAATTGTTACTGTGTTGAAGTCTCTGTCTCCCTCTAGATCTAGGTGCTCCAAGATCTGGATTTATATATCTGGGTGCTCCAAGTTGGGTACATAGATATTTAGAATTGTTATATCTTCTTGCGGAATTGATCTTTTTATCAGTATGTAATGACCTTCTTTATCTCTTTTTACAGTTTTTAACTTAGAAAGTTTTTTCTGATGTAAGTATAGCTACTTCTGCTCGCTTTGGTTTCCGTTCTTGTGGAATATCTTTTTCCATTCTTCTTCACTTTCAGTCTTTACATGTTTTAACAGGTGGAGAGAGTTTCTTATAGGCAACACACTGCTTTTTTAATACATGTAGCCAGTCAGCCAGTCTATATCTTTTATGTGGAGAATTTAATCCATCTACATTCAAGGTTATTATGGGTGAGGACTTACTTGTGTTATTTTGTTAATTGTTTTGTGGTTGTTTTGTGTGTCCTTTTTTTCATTTCTTCTTTTATTGTTTGTCATTGCAGTTGGGTGTTTTTTGTTTTTTTTTTTTTAGTATTGGTGACATTTGGCTCTTTTCTCATTTGTATTTTTGCTTTACAGTGAGTTTTATACTTTCTTGTGTTTTCATGGTGGTAGATATCATCCGTTTGCTTCCAATTGTAGGACTTGCGTAAACATTTTTTGTGTGGTTGGTCTGTTAGTAATGAATTCTCTGTTTTTGCTTGTCCAGGAAATACTTTATTTCTCCATTATTTTTGAAGGATAGGTTTTCTGGGTATAATATTCTTGCCTGTTGAGTTGGGTTTGTTGTTGTTGTTGTTGTTGTTGTTGTTTTTTCCTTTCAACACTATGAATGTGTCATCTTATTCTTTCCTGGCTTATAAGGCTTCTGCTGAGAAATCTGTTGTCACCCTGATTGGGATTTCCTTATATGTGACTTTATGCTTTTTCTCTTGATGTTTTTAGAATTCTTTCTTTGTCTTTGACTTTTGATAGTTTGACTGTAATGTGCCTTGGAGACCTTTGAGAATTGAATCTATTTGGAAATAGCTCTTACAACACTTGGGACGTTTTCAGCTATTGTTTTTAAAATAGGTTTTCTATGCCTTTGCCCATCACTTCTCCATCTGGAAATCTGAAAATTGGAATATTTCATTACTTTATGCCTTCCCATATGTCATTTAGGCTTTTTTTTCGTTTTGTCTGTTATTTCAAAAGACCTGTCTTCATGTTTAGAAATAGTTTCTTTTGCTTGATCTAGTCTATTGCTGAAGCTCTCTGTTATATATTTTTTTTCATTCATTGAATTCTTAAGTTCCAGGATTTCAAAAGACCTGTCTTCATGTTTAGAAATAGTTTCTTTTGCTTGATCTAGTCTATTGCTGAAGCTCTCTGTTATATATTTTTTTTCATTCATTGAATTCTTAAGTTCCAGGATTTCAAAAGACCTGTCTTCATGTTTAGAAATAGTTTCTTTTGCTTGATCTAGTCTATTGCTGAAGCTCTCTGTTATATATTTTTTTTCATTCATTGAATTCTTAAGTTCCAGGATTTCTGTTTGGTTCTTTTCTATGATTATCTCTTTGTTGAATTTCTCATTGAGATCATGAATTATTTTCCTGCTTACCTTGTATTGTTCATCTGTGTACTTTTCTATCTCACTGAGTTTTTTTAATATCATCATTTTAATTTTTTTTAGGAATTTCATTGGTTTCCTTTTTGTTGGAATCTGTTGCTGGAGAATTATTGTGTTCCTTTACAGGTGCCATGTTGTCTTGCTTTTTCACCTTTCTTGCATAGTTATGTTGCTATCTGTGTATCTGGTGTAACAGTCACTTCAAATTTTGTGAATTGGTTTTCATAGGTTTTTTCTATAGTTGTATCTATAGTGTTGTTTGGATAGAGTGCTTTAGTTTTGCCAGATGTGAGCACATTGGTGTAGTCTCCATATGATTTCTTCATCTGTAGTCATCCACAGTGTTATCTTTGAGTTTGTCAGTGGCTTAGGCTACATTTGTTAGTGGAGGCTATAATGAAGTGTTGCTGGGGATGTGGACACAGGCATGTGGTCCTTGGGCAGCACTGGTGGTGGCAGCAGGCTGTGCATGCTGGTTCTTGGGTCCTGGGCAATATACATGGACACCAGTCATCACAGGTCTGGGTAGGCCAATCCCTGTGCCTCCTGGTGGCTTGCTTGGGTGCCAGCAGTGACAGTAGTGGGATGAGTGGGTCCTCAGGTCTCTGGGTGGTGTGCATGGCATTCGTGATGGCAGTAGTGGTTGTGGGCCAATCCTCGGGCCCCCAAGTAGCAAACATGGGTGCCAGCAGTGGTGGAAATAGGCTGAGCAGGCCAGGTGGCACATGTGGGTGGTTATCAGCAGCAGCAGCTTGACATGCTCATCCTTTGATCCCCCTAGTTGTTTGCATAGGTGCTCCTGGTAGCTGGTGTGATGGGTCGATCCACAGGTTCTCAGACAATGTGCTGGGGTCCCAGCAGCAGTGGCAGTTGGCAGAGTGGGCTGTCCTAGGCCCCAGATGGTGTATTTGGGCACCTGGTTGGTGAATGGGTGGGTTGATCCCGATGTTCCTGGATGACAAGTGCAGGTGGCATTGCCAGAGGCTGCATGCAGGTCTAATCTGTTCCTAGGCCCCTGACGGTGGGCGTGGCTGCCAGCTGTGGTAAATGAGGCAGGTCTGTTCACAGGCCTCATATCAGCGTGCTCAAGTGCCTGTTGCAGTAGGCCAGGTAGGCCTGTTATCAGGCCTCTTGATGGTTGCACAGGCACCAGGAGTGGTGGACAGGGATGGGTTGATACCCATTCTCCCTGGCAGTGCACTTGGGCTCTGGTGGCTGTGCTAGTAGTCGGAGTAGGGTAGGCCTTTCCTCAGGCCCCCCGATAGCTCCTGCAGCCTCTGGCTGCAGCAGACAAGGCGGTCTGATCCCCACGTCCTCGTATTGTGCATTTACACAGTGGTGGCGGGTGGGGTAGGCCTGTCTTCAGGCTTCCAGATGGCGCTTGTGGGCACCAGTGGCAGGCAGAGTGGATCTATCTGTAAGCCCTGGGACAACCCCCCAGTGGGCCACTCCTCAGGCCTCCTGAAGCCACATGCAAGTGCATGACGACGCTGGTGCTGGGCAGGGTTTGAAACACACAGAAACTGTGGGACAGGGTTTCTGCCAGTGACAGAGGCCCCAGGCAGGTGGCTCTCAGGATCTGAGGAGCTCCTGCTTTGGCTCCTTTTGTCCCCAGGGTGGCCTCCCTGGTGCTCTCCACCTCCTACTCCTTAGGATGTAGGACACTGTGTAGGTGAGAGTGCTGGCCACCTAGTTGCATTGTTGACTCCAGCTGGCATCATGACACTGCAGCTCTCTGGGTGGACAGGAATATCAGTGGGGCTCCGGGCTTAGGCACTGTTGGGCCACAGAGCAGGATGTAGTCTGGTAGTGTCTGGGCTCTACCTGGCGCCATGCTGCAGCCTCTTGGGTGCCAGCAGATTATGTGGGACTCAGCGTGTACTCTTTCTTTGGAATAATGCCATTGAGTGGACTCCAGGCAGCTTTCTAAACTAGTCTCTGGGCCAGTGAGGACTAAGGGGCTCTCCAGTTGCTAGGATTGCAGGAATTCATGGTGGGAATGTGGATCTGTGTAGATGTCTCTTGTTTTTCCCATTCGTAGTGGGTAGTTTCTCCAGGCTCCTAGCCAGTTCCATTTGAGCCAGCTGCTTTGCTTCTCTGTCTTTGCTTGCCTCAGAGATTCCCTGCCACTTTTAAATTGTAATGTTCTCTCTTAGATGCCCTATTCAGTGTGTGATTATCTACTCACTGTTTTAGTCCTTTGTGGAAGAGCTGAGTGCCAAGCACTTCTAAGTCAGCCATCTTGAAGCCCCCTTCTTCCAGGGTTTTTTGTTTTTTTGTTTTTTTTTTTTTGAGACCGGGTCTAGCTCTGTTGCCCAGGCTGGAGTGCAGTGGTGCAATCTCAGCTCACTACAACCTGAGCTTCCCAGGTTCAAGCAATTCTCCTGCCTCAGCCTCCTGAGAGTAGCTAGGATTATAGGCGCCTGCCACCACGCCTGGCTAATTTTTGTATATTTAATAGAGACGGGGTTTTGCCATGTTGGCCAGGCTGTTCTCAAACTCCTGACCTCAGGTGATCTGTCCAGCTTGGCCTTCCAAAGTGCTGGGATTACAGGTGTGAGCCACAGCGCCCAGCCTCAGGGTATTATCTCTTTATTATATTTGTTGCAGATATTTTTCCAGGATAATCTTTTAAATATGCAATTATGGGTGTTTTAAAACAATAAGATTTGACATATGGTTATATAGCAAACATAACTGATGTTTTTTTCTCCTGTGTACCCCTGTACAAAATGCTCTCCCCATTTATATTTCTAATAATTACGACACTAAGGACAATGGACCTCTTCAGATCTTCAAAGCGAATATGACTTAATTATTGTAATTTAGAAGGAGAAAATAGAGAAATGCTCATAGTCGTGAGAGTTCCCTAAAATAATAAAAGTTGCTAGTTTGAGTAAATATGAGTATCATATTAATTATAGCTATTAATGTGTTCCTGGATCTGTTTTATATGTTTTTCCAAGGTTTTGGGGAAGCTGAAATGTATTTTTCAATCTTAAAATGTTGTTTTAATTATATGGTTGCTCTTTTGTAGGCTGTCAGATACAACTGCATTAGAATAGATAAACAACCAGTGTACAACGTAGAGGTAAGGGGCTTGGAGCAGCATTGGTGATGGGGGCAAAGAAGAAGTTTTGTGTTTTGTTATTAGTTATTTTGAATAAAAGTAATGTGTTGTATGCACAATAAAAGGTAACGTATTATATGCACAAATAAAGAAATATAGCTTCTCTAATCAGAAATGATAAAAATATTCTGTCAAAACTCCCCCAAAAATTTCCATATAATAGTAAAAAATGATCACAAATGTTAAAAACACACCTTGTGCTTATGACAGGTGAAATATACATTCCTGTTCTCATGTTTCATAACTTTCATAATGACTACTTTTAGATTAAAATTTTTTGGTGTGATATTTACAAAAGTGTATTTTGTTATTTAAAGAAAATGATACCTTTATTTTACATACTTTCATTTCAGAACAAAATAAACCTACAATACATATATCCAGTCTATTGTTAAATTAGGGAGGGAATCGGGCTTGAGGCCCTTGTTTCCTTGTTTATTCTTCTAAACTTGATTTTTTAATTCCATGTAGTCTTTTAGAATATTTTTGACTCAAATTATTCAAGGTAGTTACTTTTATTATTAAGAATAGTTTGACCAAGGGGAATGTATTTTGTGAAGCTCTTAGAGTTATATAAATGTACAACCTCAGAGTGATTTTATGATTCTCCCAATCAGTTTTCACTTTTTGCAAATATTGCTTGTGCTTGATGATATCTTAACATTTTTAAGATATTTTAACAGAGTTCATTTTTAAGTTTAAAAGAAAACCAAAAAATAATTTTTCACCTAAAGAACTATGTCGCTGTAGCTCTTTCTCTTTTTTATCAACCAAACTGCAAATTCCTGTTAAAGGTTTTCTTTTAGAGGTAGTATTTTCCCTTACTACTGAAGGCAACAGAAAATAATTAATATAACAAGTAATAAAATACATTCATACATATCATCCTCTTTGAACTACATAGTCTCATCCAGCAGCAAGGCCAGGAATTATCTTCATTTCACAGATGAGGAAATTAAAATTTGTTACTAGGCTGGGTGCAGTGGCTTACGCCTATAATCCCAGCACTTTGGGAGGCCAAGGCAAGTGGATCACCTGAGGTCAGGAGTTTGAGACCAGCCTGGCCAACATGGTGAAACCCCGTCTCTGCTAAGAATACAAAAATCAGCTGGGTGTGGTGGCACGCATCCATAGGCCCAGCTATTCAGGAGGTTGAGGCAGGAGAATCACTTGAACCTGGGAGACGGAGGTTGCAAGTGAGCCGAGATCGCACCACTGCATTCCAGCCTGGGTAACAGAGTGAGACTCCGTCTCAAATGAATGAATGAATAAATAAATAATAAATTCTTACTAATTCATGATTTGATTGCAAAATTTTATCTTTCTTTTCTCTGAATCATAGAATCTTTCCTTTCTTAGGTTAAAAATGCTGAATTTCCCAGAGGTGTATTAAATTTAATTGAAAGCCTCATAGAAGGACATTTTTTTAAAGAAGCAATTGAGGAACTTTCCACTTTGCAGGCACATTATATCCCTCCTGTATGCGTTCTTCATGCCCTTCTAGAGAACGTTCTACAGGTAAGAGCAGCCTTAAGGATTTATAATCTTTTTTTCAAAGAATGTTAAAATGTGAACATTTTCTCACTTTTTGTATGTTTACAGTTTATTTTCCCTGTTCAGTGTTTTTTTTTCTTCATTTCACTAATGCAGTACCCATTTATTACTACTGTTCTGTTTTCCAGCTACATACTAGGTACTACTCTTAGTGCTTTAGCTAATGATTTTCTCAGGATTTCTAAGATAATTTTGTTTTGGGGAAAAAGGTTATCTAATTTTTCTCACGGCAGTAAAGTATCAAATATAAAATTCAGATTATGGTGATCTAGAATTACATTTGGTAAATTACTCCATTAGTACATTGATGATTATCATTTTTATTTATAGTATACATAATGAACATACTCTTTGTTTAAAAAGAAATAGAGGCAAGTTCCCTCTCTGTTGTCCAGGCTGGACTGCAGTGGTGTGATCATGGCTCACTGTGGCCTCAACCTCCTGGGCTCAAGTAGTCCCCCTGCTTCAGCCTCCCAAGTAGCTGGGACTGTAGGCGCATGCCACCATGCCTGGCTAATTTTTAAATTTTTTGTAGAGATGGAGTCTTGCTATGTTGCCCATGCTGGGAACATACCCAAACTGTGTAAACCAATAGGAACAAATATTCAAAGATCGCTTTCTAATCATGCCCTTCACCAAGGTGCTAATTTGATAACATAACAGGCATAAGCTTTGTCAGGTATGTTATGTTGGTGATAAGTAAGCATGTTGCATGAATAGTTTGTTACTTTTAGTTCCTTTCAGGTAACATTTGAGACCTCTTAAATCTCACTATAATTGTGAAAAGGAAAATGTGTATTCCATCTAAGGTAGTGTTAATAGAAGGGATTACCCAATGTATAGATAGAGTCATCCCTTGCTGTCACAGGATATTGGTTTCAGGACCTTTGTGGATACTGAAATCTGCACATAATCAAGTCCTGCAGTTGCTTCTTCAGAACCTGCACTTATAGGAAAAGTCAGCCCTCCACATACGAAGGTTTTACATCCTGTGAATACTGTATTTTTAAAGGTTTTTCTTTTAGAGGTAATTGTAAAATTTTCCCTTACTACTAGGGAAAAAAATTTCCTTCACTACTGAAGGCAATAGAAAATAATTAATACAATAACTAATAAGATACAGTCATACATATCATCCTCTTTGAACTACATAATCTCATTCAGCAGCAAGGGCAGGAATTATCTTTATTTTACAGGTGAGGAAATTAAAACTTCTTAGTAGGCCGGGTGCTGTGGCTCACACCTGTAATTCCAGCACTTTCAGAGGCCGAGGCCTCCCAAATACAGAATACTGTATTTAATTGCAGTTGTAGAACCTATGGACGTGAAGGGTAGGCTGCATTTATTGGAAAAAAATTCATGTGTAAGTGGACCCATGCAGTTAAAACCTGTTATTCAGGTATCAGCTGTACATAGAGTGTGCCTGTCTCTCAGTTGCTTTATTTAATTAGCTAAACATGATGCTTCCATCTGCTCTCCTTTGTCTAAACACGTATATTTGGCAAGAAACTTAGGCCAGCGTTAGGCCGGGCGTGGTGGCTCACACCTGTAATCCCAGCACTTTGGGAGGCTGAGGTGGGCAGATCACAAGGTCGGGAGTTCAAGACTAGCCTGGCCAACATAGTGAAATCCCATCTCTACTAAAAATACAAAAATTAGCCAGGCATGGTGGTGGGTGCCTGTAGTCCCAGCTACTTACTCAGGAGGCTGAGGCAGAAAAATCGCTTGAACCCAGGAGGCGGAGGTTGAGGTAAGCCAAGATCGTGCCACTGCACTCCAGCCTGGGTGACAGAGCCAGACTCCGTCTCAAAAAAGAAAGTTAGGCCAGGGTTACTGTTTTGGTTTTAGACTGAATTAGAGAGTCAAACTACTTTTAGCTATAGTGTTTTATTTGTTTGTTTATTTTTAAATAATAGGATAACATAGATACATTTTCTGGTCGATACTTTCATATATTGTCAGCTCTTCTTCACCTGCATCCTCCTTGGAAGTCTCCAGCCATGTCGAGATATTATTTAGAGTTGTTTCAGTGTCCAACTTGTATGAAAGGAGCATGGTCTTTAGTAGAAGTCCTTATCAGGTAAGGAATTTCACATTTGACGATGCTACATTTCATTGAGTAGTTGTTATGCTAATTATTTTTTTAAGATACTGATGAAAGAAGTATCTTTCTACTTTTGGAAAAGTTTTGTTGCAAATACAAATATGTATTGTATTTATTGCAAAACTTATGAAAAGGCAAATCTATATTGGTCATGTTTTTCAGTCTGTTTCCTAAAAAAATAAAAAATGAATGCATGAAATGGACTCACTAGAAAGCCAAATCATTATTATTTTTAACAAAATAGAAATTTGTGTATTGTTTTTTAAATGAAGAAAATTAATTTATGGAATATGCATATCATCAGTTTTTGTCACCAAAAGTGTAGACATTTGTAACTATAGTATCTATTTTAGGGCTTCAGTTATATTTTTTTCAGCTAGAAATTTGAATTTTAAAACAGAACTTAATATTTCCTAAATATGTCATCTCTTTTATGCTTCTGCACATGCTGTCACTGCCTAGACCTTCCTCTGTCTTTCAGTTGTTAGTGTCTCCAGAAATTCTGTTTCACCTTCTTTCTCCCTAACAGAAAATGTTTTCCCCTTGCTATTCAAATAACTGTATTTGATAACCCTTATTCTTCTGGGAAGATCTTTTCTTTTTTTGAGACATGAGTCTCGCTCTGTCACCCAGGCTGGAGTGCAGTGGCCTGATCTTGGCTCACTGTAACCTCTACCTCCCAGGCTCAAGCAATTCTTATGCCTTAGCCTTCCAAGTAGCTAGAGTTACAGGCATGTGCCTCCACGTCCAGCTAATTTTTGTATTTTTTCATTTTTAGTAGAGATGGGCTTTTACCATGTTGGCCAGGCTGGTCTCGAATTGCTGGCCTCAAGTGATCTGCCTGACTTGGGCTCCCAAAGTCCTGGGATTATAGGAGTGGACCATCACGCCTGGCTGGGAAGATCTTTTTTTTTTTTTTTTTTTTTTTAATTTAAGTGTCCAGTTTCAGGAGGTTCATAGTGGAGAAAGGACACCTGACTAGCCATGCAAAGGCTAGACCTCTGGTTAGCTCTTTGAGATCATAAAGATTCACATACCATCTTGGTTGTGATATATTTAAAGTGAGCTAATCAGTTAACCAGCATGCATTTATTCATTCTTTTAACAAATTCTTGAGTACTTACGGAGAGCCAGACACTGTACTACATTTTAGGGATTAAAAAGATGATTTAAATAACAGTTCCTGCACTTTGAAAGTGACTGAGATGTAAACAATACCGCACAAAAGTACAAGCCCAACAGTACAAGCCCAGCATAGGTATATGATGTGAGAAAATAGAGTTTATGTGGCTGACATCCTTCATAATTTCCAAATCTATTCCTTTCTTCACTGTCAATTGTCTTTATTTTAAAGTTCCTGTTTCTTCTTATATAAACTATTGCAGTAGCTGCTTTATTGATCTTGGGTCTACTTTTTTCCTTTTAATTTTTCTTCCAAAGTACCCCCCCACAGTATGCTCTTTCCAAAGTGATCTTGTCATTTCCCATATTAAAGTCCTTCATTGACTCACATACATTGAACTACCTATAGAAGATGGTTCAGATTTCTTAGCGAAATACGTAAGACCCTTCATGAGTTAGCCCTTATATATGTCTCAGTTCTCATCTTCACCACTTTCTTGAATGTGTCCAATAGTTATTTTCCATATCCTGTCTTTTGCTCTTATGTTTTCCGAATTTCCTAGCTTTTTTGTTTGTTTGTTTGTTTTGTTTTGTTTTGTTTTTTAAGACACTCTGTTGCCCAGACTGGAGTGCAATGGCACAATCACGGCTCACTGCAGCCTGAAACTCCCAGGCTCAGGTGATCCTCCCGCCTCAGCCTCCTGAATAGCTGGGACTACAGGCATGTGCTCCCACGCCTGGCTAGTTTTGTATTTTTTGTAGAAATGGGGTTTTACCATGTTTCCCAGGCTGGTCTCCACCACTTGAGCTCAAGTTTTCTGCCCGCCTCAGCCTCCCAAAGTGCCAGGATTAAAGGCATGAGCCACCATGCCTCACTGCTTCGTTTCACTTCTCTTCTCTCTTCTCTCCTCTCTCCTCTCCTCTCTTCTCCTTTGTCCCTTGTCTTCACTTTTCTTCCTTTCCCTTTTCCCTTTTCTTTTCTCTTCTTTCCTTTTCAAATCTCACTGTCACCAAGGACAGTGTGCAGTGGCGGGATCATAGCTCACTGCAATCTTGAGCTCCTGGGTTCAGGCCACTCTCCTGCCTCAGCCTCCTGAGTACCTGGGACTACAGGTGCCCACCACCACACCTGGCCAATTTTGTTGTTGTGGTTGTGGTTGTAGTTTGTTTGTTTGTTTTTTGAGAAGAAGTTTCGCTCTGTTGCCCAGGCTGGAGTGCAGTGGTGCGATCTCGGCTCACTGCAACCTCCGCCTCGCAGGATCAAGCGATTCTCCTGCCTCAGCCTCCCAAGTAGCTGGGATTACAGGCATGCGCCACCACGCCTTGCTGATTTTTTTTTGTATTTGGTAGAGATGGAGTTTTACCATGTTGGTCAGGCTGGTCTCAAACTCCTGACCTTAGGTGATCCACCCGCCTCCACTTCCCAAAGTGCTGGGATTACAGGCATGAGCTACTGTGCCAGGCCTACATGACTAATTTTTAAATTTTTTGTAGAGGTGAAGTCTCCCTGTGTTGCCCAGGCTGGTCTCAAATTCCTGGGCTCAAGCAATCCTCCTACCTTGTCCTCCCAAAGCACTGGGATTACAGGAATGGGCCACCATGCTCAGCCATAGTTTTCCCTTAAAATGCAATTTAGCTGCCACTTTCTTACTCTTGACCTTTCCTTTAAGTTTGTCATTCACATCAGGCCTATGACTTTCTTAAAGAGAGGTGCTCAGTCTTGTTTTTCTTTCTTTAAACTTCCCTCTTACAGAAGGTGTTCAGTCTTAAATATCTCCATCCTTAATATCTAATATAATGCCTGGAATGTAAGTACTTAATAAAGGTTTGGATGAATTTATTGATGCTGTAGGTGATAGATTTTGGGCAGCTTAAAAATAGACTTTTAAACAAAAATACCCAGATTTCATTTCAAAATAATGGGGTACTGTGGAGGTGCTTAGGGAAGTGGTAGGAATATGAATGAGCTAAGTAATACTAGTCTCTACTTTTGTATATATTTGAAATATTCCATAATGCATAGAGAAACGTAAGTTCTCTATCTCTGACAGTTTTCAGAAAGACTGATTAACTATGTGGGCATGAAGGATCTTATAGATAGATTGAATATTAAATAAATTGTTAAAGCTACTAAGGACTCTCCTGAGAATGTTGTATTAAAAAAGAAGACAGCGGAAGTGGAGACAGAGGTAGAAAGTTATAAGTGCATTGTTGATATAATCAATAAGAAAAGTGGGAGATTGTAATAAATAGTGTTACCTAGACACTATTTCTTAAATCCTAGAGTTCTGAGTAATCTTCTATTCTCTTTAGAAATATATTATAGAAGTGTGCTGTCTGACCCAATAGCCACTAGCCATATCTATTTATATTTAAATTTTATTCAGACAAAGTAATTAAAAATGTGGGTCCTTGGGTATACAAGCCACATTTCAAGTGTCTAGTAGAACATATACATCATCACAGAAAGTTCAGTTGGAGAGGACTGCTCTAGAAGACAGAAAGAAAATAAAATAATGAATATTAAAAACGCTAAAAAAGTAGCCCTAAATAATCTTCATTTACTAACTAATGAAAAAGAAAGTAATCTTGGGTAAGAAAGAGGAGGATTCTGGCGAGTATTATAAATTGAGAGGTTAGCTGGTCATTTAAATCAAAAGGACTTAATGAAATCTATAATCTTTGTTCTCATCAGTGAAATAAAGAGCACAAAGGGAGAGTACCTGCTAGTCATTAAATATTATAATAACTTGAAAAATTGAGAAATTAGATCTATTTATTAAGAATTAAGTACTCATGAGATATTTGACATTGTTTAATTTTTGAAGGAAGAAATATATTCATAAAATTTTGTTGAACTTTCTATTTTAAGAAAATTTTATTAAAATTCCAGCAGTATTCTAGAAGGAGAAATATTTTGTTCACAAATGACTTAGTGAATTGCTTGTATGTTATAGATTTTTGGGTTCATGTTTTTCAGGTCTTGCCTTTTCAATGAAAGCTTTTGTCATCAAATTTCAGAAAATATTGGCTCCAAGGTGCTCCACCTGACGCTACTCAAATTTTTCTTTAATTTAATTGAAAGTGAAGTACAACATCTGAGTCAAAAGTAAGTTCTAATCGCAAGAATAACACTTTTCTAAATTTTGGTTGTTTTTATGCACCATTTTTTTTTTACAATTATTATAAATATATTTCTAAAAAGTCACCTTATTTTCTATTTTAAGATAGATTTGTTTTTAAAACATATTTCCAGATATTCTCAGTGGGAGTAAAGGTTTATATGCCCTTTTAAAAAATTTCCTCAGTTCACTTCCACTGTTCATTTGGATGGATAATAGTGTTTTCATTTTTTAGGATTTTAAAAAAATTCTTTAGTAATTGAATGCTAAGTAAAAAACTACACCAATTTTAAACACTGAGCCTACAATGGTAAGTTTTGCTCCTGCTCTAAAACTTGCAGATAGATTACTGTGTATATATACATTGTCAGTGACTTTATTGAACTGGGGCCATTTTTTATATTTTGTCCTTTATTATAATTGTTATAATCTTTATATTTTATGATCTATGTTCAAAAATTGCTAGCATTTTTTTTGACAGGAGAGATGTCAAGTAATTGTCATGATCAAATTGGCTTAAAGATATACTTTTTGTTTATATTTTAATTAGGTTGTATGACTGGTCAGATTCTCAGAATCTGAAAATAACAGGAAAGGCAATGCTTCTTGAAATTTTTTGGTCAGGAAGTGAAACCTCTGGGCTTTTGACCAAACCAGTAAATATGCTTTTGGAATGGACTATATATTCTCACAAGGAAAAATTCAAGTCTAATGATGTAAGTAGGATTAATTTATAGATGAATAGTCTATGGAAACAGCACTTTGAATTATTTACCTTTTCCTCTCCTCTTTATTCTTTGGATCACTCGAAAACAATTAAAATGTACCCAAATATATCATTGTTTTCTATTTAGTTTAGTTTTAAGGTAAAAGGTCCTTGGAGACTGGTTCCTTCATCGTCTCATGTTTGCATGTAGTAGCTAGTGAATTATATGATAGTTACTGCTAAGAAATCTCTAGTTACTTACCTTTCTAGATTTTTTACTTTTGTGCAATTTGATTCATGAAGAACTTAAGATTTAAAAATAAATGAGTCAATCCATACAATTTTTGAGGGGTACTACTAATAAATATTAATATTTATTAGTATTATTTTAAAACTACCTCTTTTGATGTTGAGTTATTTTCTGAAATATTTGTTTATAAGTTGATTTTGCCTGTCATTAGAAATTTAACATATAGTGATTTTAGTGTATTATCCATCTCAAGGATAATAGCGTATATAGCAACATAACTTTGGCACATTTTGGTTGCATAATAAATATTAGTCACCTTTTTCCTTTTCAGAATGATCTCCCTTTGGAATTATATTATCTCCTTTTTTGCGTTACATCATTCATTTTGCTCTTTTCTTTTAATTTTTTTTTTTTTTTACTTTTTCTCGTATCTTCTTGAATCTTTTTTTCTTTTTAGTCTTCATTTCTAATACATCCACCTAATATAAATTACCTGTTGAGTACAACTTGACATTCATTTCGTAGTTTGGTACTTTAACCTAGAGTGCTCTGTTTTTTTTCAAAGTATTTTCTATTGTTAATTTTGATTTCCCTCTTTGATCCAAGAGATATTTTTAAAAGATGTTTTAAGATTTCTAGATAGATGGGTTTTGTTTGTTTGGCTGTGCTTTTTTTGGTTAGTTTCTAATAGTGAATTATAGTGAAAGAATGCACCTTATGCAATTTCTGCTATCTGAAATTTACTGAAGTTCTCTTTTTGGCTCCATATAAGACTAGGAACCAGAATGTGTTTTTTCTGTTGGATTGGATCAAACTTCATAATTGTTTTAATCAATCCTTCTGAATCGACTTTGTTGATTTGCTCATCTATTTATTTTTAAGTTTCTGCTTCATGTATGCTAATGACACCTTATTATTCATAACTGATATATCATGACTACTAGTTATGATCCTATAACTGCTAGTTAGGTAATATCTTTTTCAGGGATCGTAAGCATAGTAGTTAGGGTGGAGAGCTCTGGTATCAAACTACCATGAAGTCTATTCTGTCTTAACAAAAATGCTTATGTAGTTTCTCGTCAAATACTTCCTCAGATCCATTTTCTCTTCTCTACGTTTTAAATTACCATTAAACTTACGTTATACCTTTTCTTCATATTCTTTGTGTTTTTCACCTTGTATCTCCCTCCCTTTCTCTCTCTCTCCCTCTTTCTCTCCCTCTACCATTTCCCCTGTCCTCCTCTTTCTCCCTCTTCCCCCGCCCCATATAGATTTTTTTTTTCTGTACTTGCCACATTCTGGATAGTATTTTCGTCCAGTTTTTAGTTCATTAGTTCTTTCTTCAGCTATGTCCAGTATATTGTTAAACATGACCATTGCATTTAAATTTTTTGTGTTTTTTCCAGTTAAAAGACTTTTTAACTGTTCCAAACCACTATGACTTGTTTTTATGAGTTTCAAGGTTTTCTTTTGTCTTTAACATGGCAATGACATTTATTATCTATGCTTGATTATTCCATATCTGAAGTCTTTATGGGTCTGTTTCTGTTGTTGTTTTTGCTGTTTCCTTCTCTTGTGCTTTTTTATTTTCTCTTGCAAGCTTATTATTCACTATATGCTTTTAAATTGCATTTGAGAAGTTATTTGTAGAAACAATACGTGATAAAGACCAGAGTATCTTCCCCCAGAAAGAATTTCTGTTGAACTTCTGCCAAGTGCCTGGGTGTACCACTAGTTAAGGACTATTCTAATCCAATGTCTATGTTTGGGGGACTCTGGGTAGTTCAAATGAAGTAAAGGGCTACATATACATTTAGTTTTGCTTCTGATTCACTCTTACCATGAGGATGAAGCCCTTCACTTTTTCATCCTATGAGCAATTAGCTTTTGGCCATGACTTTTTTTTTTTTTAATCTTTTCTTCCCTTGTGCTCCAGAAACCACAGTTCTGTATTCTAGATTCTTCCTTAAAATCAGTGAAAGTCCTCAGGGCGAAGTCAGGTATCTGAGTAGCTCCCTTGAGTACCTCACTAGATTTTGGCCTAGCACTTCCTCATAATTTGTTCTCTTTTTTTTCTGAAATGTTTTGCTTATTTTATTTAACATTTTTAGTTTTAGTTTTCTTCTCTAAGTGGGTTCAATTGAGGCCGGGTGCAGTGGTTCCTGCCTGTAATCCCAGCACTTTGATATGCTGAAGTGGAAGGATTGCTTGCGGCCAGGAGCTCAAGACCAGTCTGAGCAACATAGTGAGACCCCCATCTCTACCAAAAAAACAAAACAAAACCAAAAATAAAACAGATGTAGTGGTGTGCACATGTATTAGTTTTAACTACTTGAGAGGCTGCCCTGGGAGGATTGCTTGAGCCCAGAAGTTGGAGGCTGCAGTGAGCTATGATTGCGCCGCAGCATTCCAGCCTGGGTGACAGAGTGAGACCTTGTCTCTTAAAAAAAAAAAAAAAAAAAAAAAATTCATCTGAATTACCTAGGCCTTCATTAGAAATAGAAGTTCTTGCTGGTTTTTTAAAAAATACTGTTTGTTTAGTTGTCTGAGGCAGGAAAATAAAAGTTAGTTCTTTTTGAGGTACTATTTTTTTTTTTCTAAATCAGCATTAAAACGGGAAGATTGCTCTGAGTATAGCTAGATTTGTTTGTGATCAAGTAATCCTATTATTTAACAATAACCAGGTGAGTAGACACTGTTTTGTGCATGTATCTGATTTAAAAGGAAGTATAATTTTGCAAATTACAGAAATTGAAAATACTTAAATAGGACTACTATTTAGACCTCATTGCCAATTGAGTATAGCACTTTAAAGCTGATAGCATCTTTATAAATTACCATCTGTCTTTTTATTTACTTTTTATACAATGCAATCATTAAGGATAGAAAATATTTCTTCATTATAGAACGTTTCTTTTTTTCATTCATTTGATTACATAAATGAAATTGCTCATTTATAATTTAAAACAATAAAATGATGTTGTCACAATTTTACTAAGTCTTCAAGGGACTATCACAGATAAGAAATTACTTAAGAAGCTCTGATGTAAATAGTAACAGATTTATACATATTTAACTTGAAGATTTTTGTTCAAACTTATAAATAAAAGCAACATATGTGTGAAGCAGTCTGCAATAAATTGTAGCATTGTGATATGAGAACTGGTTTTAAATTTTGCAAATTAATATTTTATTTAACATTTGAATTGCTTAAATTGATATAAAACTGCTTTTTAAAAATTGTATTACCTTTCTGCTAGAATTCATTCTTGTACTTAATTAAATCTTTTTGGCAGTTTCCAGTTTCAAGAATTCCATGCATGTTCACAGACATCATTTTCTGTACTGTAAAGCATTTGTTTCTTGATTTGCTGAGTTGAAGTATTCAATTTAAGTCATTAGCTAAACAGAAGTCCTCAGTTTATGCTAATATTGTTTTGTCATAATGTCAATCAGCAAGTATTGCAGAGTGACACAATGGCAGTGAATTTCATTGTCATTAATCTGAGAAAATGTTGGGCTTTCCTTGGCAAAGAGCAGAGGTGGGCTGTGTCAAGGTTATGGAGGAGGTACAATTTTTACTAGTCCCACTTTTCTTTGAGATGTTCTTAAGTGCTATTGATAATTCTACAATATAGGTAGAAATGTAAGCTAGTTTATATTAATAGATAAGAAAGTTGATAAAGAGTTTAAATAACTTATTCAAGGTGTCACAGCTTGTTAGGGCAAAGCCTTGACTAGAGGCCAAGTCTCCACTGCACCACACTTTCTCATGTTTCAAATGCCAGTGTTTAAAACAGGAAGAGGCACAGTGTGTGCTTTATGTTTGCATCTTTCCAACAGAGTAGTTTGTCACATATTACAGTGGGATATCATGGAAATCCCTAACCTGGGAGTCAGAAGGCCAAGATGCTAGTTTGTTCTACTTTACAGATTAGTCAAGTTTTGGAAGATTGCCAATTTTATAAACTAGAAGTTATCTCTACTGGCAGATGATATAGAACCACATTGACAGAATGTCTGGTAATAGAGTTAAACATATTAGAAAGGAATTCTAAGGTAAATATATATCATATATGCAAATCTTGTCAACCTTTTATTTCTTTGTTAATTCTTAGGGTATTCGTGTTCTCTTCTGTCAGCTTTAACAAATATTTCAGTATTCCAAGAAAGCTGTTTTCCTTTGATGATTTATTTACTATTTTCTTACTAATCTATTTCTAAAGCTTATATATCCACTAATACTGGAAGGAATAGCATCGTTGATGTATTGTTAAAGTGGCAGTGAGTATAGTCCATAGCACACTGTCTTGGCCCTATTATTGTTATGAGTGTGCTAGTTAAGATTATGGTATAAAAGGATCTAAGAACCTGAGTTGAAAGTGTCTTTTCATATAAAAACTTACTATTATGGCTATGTAGTAGTGTGCATGTTTAGCTAATGACATGAAAAGAACAACAACTTTGGCAGGATCTTTTTTATCATAGTAAAAAAGCTATAGTTATTCCTCGAAATCACTGCAAGACCTCTTCTGTTTAATAACATTAATATCAAGGTAAATTTAATATTAAGCAATATATTAATATTCTATTGTGATTTTAACTGTATGTACCACATATTTATATAAGGAAGGAGGGAAAGTCCCAACTGGTTGATTTTTTTTTTTTTTTTTTTTTTAAATGTTGTTTTTGGTTGTTGGAAAGCTGGATTGTGTTTTTATATAAGGCTTCACTTTGTGGGCTAACATCCTTCTTTCCTGCCCAGAGTCTTAAAGCCTGGGTGGTCTAAAGTGATCTTGATTTACTATACCCTTGAGATGGAGAATACTTTCAGAAATCAAAATTTACCAACCTCTTGCTTCTTTCCTGAGTACTGTCACTGCTGATATTCAGATACATATTATGTTGGAAGGAACATTTTGTGGATGCATATGTGCATATGGACATAATCAGTTTACTAGTTTAAATATATATTTTCACTGTTCTGTTTTATATTCTCTTGATAACAGTGAGAAGTAAGGATTAACTAACTTGCTCAGAGTGATCAAGCAAGATACTGGCTTTACAGAGAATGGAGTTGATTTCCTGCAGTGTTTTCTGGAGACTAGCACTAGACCCTAGTCCTGCCGATCACACCAGGGGAGGTGTTGGTGCTACTGATGTGGTCAGACCTGCTGCTGGTTTCCCATGCCATATAGCCGCAACTGCAAGGCTTAAACTCAGCTGTCCTATCAAGGCAGGAGACTGGGTGGGATTGACAGCCACCTGTGAAGACTCACCTGCTAGGATCTGGCTGGCTGTCTTGGTCGCTGATCATGTCCGAAGAAGTACACCACTTTCTTAATCATGCAGCTTTTAAAAATCTCCTCAGCCCCACACTTGAGGGTCTCTCTCCTAGATTCTAATGTCTAGCCCTACACGAATGCAGTATGCTGCCCTTGATGTGATAGGACAACAGAGGACCTGCACACATGCTACTGGTCCTGACTGTGTTTTCCTTCCATAAACACTGTTCTGGCAAGCTGGTTTTATGTGCTGCTGGACCATTTGCTTATGTTTGCACAATAAACCAGAAATTAAACTTTGGTTTTGAAATCATTTATCTGCTAGCTAGAGCTATTAGATATGGAATGATATCCCAATGAAATATTGAATATACATATAAGAAATTTCTTACCTGAGGGCAGGAGAAACAAATCCAGTAGTCACTGAGGGTTCAGAGTGCTAGGGATTTCTTTCTCACTAATCCCATATTAGGCATAATATGTGCTAGTTTGGTCTGTAATATATAACTCTAATACACTGAAATACACATAATTTATTCCGTAATATATAACATAATAACATACTGTTTATGAGTGTGTTAGTTTAGATTATAGTATAAAAGGATCCAAGAACCTGATTTGGAAGTGCCTTTTATGTAAAATGTACTATTCTAATCCCTAAAATTCCATGTAAACTATGAAGACAAAGTGTGAAAATAATATTTTAAAAACACCTTTGATTTAAATATAAACATTTTTTCGAAACATTAAAACCAGCTGAAATTCCTGTTACTTGTCGTCTAGGCTTGTTGGATATGTGAAAAAATCACAAAACAGTTGGGTAAAAGGCATGTGAAAAGGTTTTAATAAATATTGTGATAATAGATTAGGTTATTAGTAATATTAGATCTATTAGTTATAGACCAGGTTCTTAGATCCTTTTATACTGTAATCTTTTATACATGAACAGAATGTTATATATTATGTTATTTAAGCATAATATATGCCTAATATGGGATTAATTAGAAAGAAATTAGATGGCAGAACATAGTTATAATCTATTACTGTAGCATTTATTAAAATGTTTTCATATGCCTTTTACCCAACTATTAATTTAGTGATTTTTTTTCCTACATATCCAACATGCCTAGACAACAAATAACAAGAACATAAGAATTTCAGCTGGTTTTAATGCTTTGAAAAAGTGTTTATATTTCAATCAAAGGTGTTTTTAAAATTTCATTTTCACACTTCTTCATCTTCATAGTTTCTACTGAATTTTAGAGATTAGAAAAATACTTTCAAACATTAGCGTAGGGTAAAGCACGCTTAGAAGGTTTGTATGCCTTGTTACATTTCTTATAAGAATTTAATGATGTTTATTATAAAAGTAATCATATAAAATGATATACTTTTTTTTTTTTTTGAGACGGAGTCTCACTCTGTCACCCAGGCTGGAGTGCAGTGGCACAATCTCCTCTTACTGCAAGCTCCGCCTCCCGGGTTCACGCCATTCTTCTGCCTCAGCCTCCCGAGTAGCTGGGACTGCAGGTGCCCGCCACCACGCCCGGCTAACTTTTTGTATTTTTAGTAGAGACGGGGTTTCACCGTGTTAGCCAGGATAGTCTCAATCTCCTGACCTCGTGATCCACCCACCTCGGCCTCCCAAAGTGCTGGGATTACAGGCGTGAGCCACCGCGCCCGGCCAGTGATATACTTTTAAAACTGATCTCTACATCTCTAAGTTGGGTAATTAGTATTTGATATATAATTAAATAATAAAAATTGGAATCAGTATATTATAGCAAATGAATAATCTTGTTTACTAGAACTTTTATTCATTGGGTTTCTCAAGTCTTTCTGGAAAATGTCATAAAGAGAAATGTAAAGAATAATTCTGTATATAAACAGTGGAGGTAGATAAATCTATCTTCTTTTATAGTCCTATCTCTCCTATTTATAAAAATCTACAAAAACCAGGTATTTTCTCATTATTTTAATGGAATTATTTCCTAACAAACTTGATGGTATTGGATAAAATTAAAGTTTATTCTAAACTGTTAAGTTGTAGGTCCTTGGAAAATTTGCTTTGTTAACTCTTTTGTCATGTGGAGAGAGAGAGAGATGGAGGGGAGAGAATTAGTTAGCTAGGGTTCTTAAGAATACCTTTAATCATTACATACCCTGTATTTTTAAATAGCTATGTTTTGCCCCTCAAAAAGTATTCAAAATAAATACTAACAGAAATTCAATATTGTAATATATTTTAGTAATTTTTTTGTATCTTAATGTTAGGTCTTCAAACATGAACTAGCTTACTTATTGGCTGGAATTCTTGGAGCAGCAATAGATTATTGGATTTTCCTTGGTCTTAAGATGGGTAGAAATGTGATGCGACACATGTCTGATGACTTAGGAAGTTATGTTTCTCTTTCGTGTGATGGTAAGTTTGTCTATGTTCTGTTTTTTTCAGACCCATTCTGGAAATTAGTTTTGAATTTCTTTTAAGCAGTCTGTAAGCTTTAACATATGTTCATTTGAAACTTTCCTTAAAATAGTTATGGATGCACGCACACATAGATTCACACACACAGACAATATAAAGAGGAAGATTTAAAGTACCCATATTGTTCCTACACAGATAACTGCTGTTAACTTTTTAATGTCTTTCTGGTATTTCTAAGCATTTTTGTATAGTTGAGTTCATACTATATATGTAATTTTGCATTCTTATTTTCCTCTAAACATTACAGGAGACTTCCCCCCACATACATTTATTATTCAAATATAATTATTTTACCTGGTGCAGTGGCTCACACCTGTAATCCCAACCTACTTTGGGAAGCCGAGGTGGGAGGATCTCTTGAGCCCAGGAGTTTGAGACCAGCATGTGCAACATAGCAAGACTCTGTCTTTAAAAAAAAATTTAAAAATTTGCTGGACGTGGTCTATGCTAGTAGTCCCAGCTACTCTGGAGGCTGCAGTGGGAGGATCCCTTGAGCCCAGGAGTCCAGGGCTGCAGGGAGCCATGATTGTGCCACTGCACTCCAGCCTGGGTGACAGAGCAAGACCCTGTCTCTTTAAAAAAAAAAACAAACAAAAAAAACTTGCTACTATTTTTTTCCCCATTGAGTCTGGTGCTCTAACAAGAAATGAACATGGATGAAGCAAACAGAAGTAATTTATATGGATAATTTTTTTCACTCTTCTTTTCTCCCCATTACCTACTTTAAAGTCTCCCCTAAAATAAAGGGAGGAAGGAGTGTTATTTAAGAAACATGATAGCAGAACTCATTTCACAAGGTGAAAAGTTCTACCCAATTCTTTGGGCCTCTAGACTGAAGGAGGCTTCCATAAAGACCTTATGTAGATTCCCAAACTCCATAGCCAGTTTAGGGAGAGTCTTTGCCCATCCTTCCCTTTTTTTCTTTATTTCTTTATTTCTGTAATCCTTAATTCCTAAAATGAATACATTTTAAACCAAGTAAGTTTTTTTGTGGTTCTTACCTATAAAAGATTATTTTTATATACTTTTATATACTTGATATTTTAAACTGCCAAATAAGTACTCTGCTACACATGTGTTTCAGTGTATCTTGATTTTATATAAAGAAAAAATTCTTCAGTATGCCATCAATCACTTTAATACTTTGAAGAGAGACTTCAGAATAGGAATCCAGGTTATAACTGGGTTCAGGATTTATTCGATGATGCCCTCTGCAGAGAGAGTTCTCTTTTTATACTACCAAAGTTAGAAGATTTTTATCTAAAGCATTTTATCTCTTTTATTTTTTTCTTTTTCATTGAGCTGAGGGGGTGATTACAGTTCCTTTTGTGGAGTAGCTGTCCTTTGTTGCATGACTTTAACATTTCTTAGCTAACATTCAATCTTCCTGCAGAACCCTTTCTTATATTTCTTTCCCACCATTCCTACTAGGTAGTTTAGTGGTTTTTATCCTTTTCAGAAAACAGAATTCTGGCATTATTTGCTAGAATGGGAACTAAGCATTTGACTAACAGAATTTCCTGTTTTCATTCCTTAATGAAATTTGAGTTTGGAGACCTAGTAGAGGATTAGCAGTGGCTTTAGAGATTATCAGGATAGTTAGATGTCTTGTTTCCAATACATAGTAATTGCCCTTAAGGAATTATAATTTATTTTATAGTTTAGCCAAATGCATGAAATAATGAGCCTTGTATTAAAAGGATTCTACTACCTGTTATACATTTGCTTCAATGCTTTCTTCACTAATATTCTGAATTTCCCTTCGCTTTAAAGCAGGACATTGTTATCCAGTGTTATTTTCAGTTTTCACATGACATGTGTAAAACCTAGAACTTTGATTCTGTGAGTAACATGAACTTAAACTGAACCTTAGTGTTACTATTATGATCCTGTCACAGATTATTTTGCTCCCAAAGATCTATTAATATATTTGATCACTAACATTCAAAACTTTCGATGAGACTTAAATTGTCACTATTGAAAAGTACTTTTAAGCCTTTTTCTTTACCTTTCTCAAAATGTACACGTGTGCATGTGCACACACACGCAGTTGGTTGCTTAGGCTTCAAATTCGGTTATAGCTAGGCAGTTTAAAAGTTTTAAACATTATTTCTTTTGTCTTTTTTTTTGAGACAGAGTCTTACTCTGTCCCCCAGGCTGGAGTGCAGTGGCATGATCTCGGCTCACTGCAATCTCTGCCTCCCCGGTTCAAGCAATTCTTGTGCCTCAGCCTCCCAAGTAGCTGGGGTTATAGGTGTATGCCACCAAGCCTGGCTAACTTTTTGTATTTTTAGTAGAGATGGGGGTTTCACCATGTTTGCAAGGCTGGTCTCAAACTCCAGACCTCAGGTGATCTGCCCACCTCGGCTTCCCAGGTGCTGGGATTACAGGTGTGAACCACTGCGCCCAGCCAAAAGTTTTAAACATGTATTTCTAAAAATGGTTCAAATTAATATTTTTCTATTTTCTTTTTTATTTTTTATTTATTACTATTATACTTTAAGTTTTAGGGTACATGTGCACAATGTGCAGGTAAGTTACATATGTATACATGTGCCATGCTGGTGCGCTGCACCCACTAACTCGTCATCTAGCATTAGGTATATCTCCCAATGCTAACCCTCCCCCCTCCCCCCAACCCACAACAGTCCCCAGAGTGTGATGTTCCCCTTCCTGTGTCCATGTGTTCTCATTGTTCAGTTCCCACCTATGAGTGAGAATATGCGGTGTCTGGTTTTTTGTTCTTGCGATAGTTTACTGAGAATGATGATTTCCAATTTCATCCATGTCTAGTTTTTTCTTTTCTGTTAGTGCAGGTTGATGTTTAACCTTTGTCAAGAGACAGAAATCCAGTGAACATTTTATCATAAACCAGTAGCCTCCAGCCTGGGGGACAGAGTGAGACTCTTCTCAACAACAAAAAATAATGTTTAAAACTTTTAAATTGCCTAGCTATAACCAAATTTGAAGGCTAAGCAACCAACTGTGCGTGTGTGTGCATGTGTGTGTGTGTGCATGTGCGCGTGTGCACATGTATACATTTGGAGAAAGGTAAAGAAAAAGGCTTAAAAACACTTTTCAATAGTGACAATTTAAATCTCATCTAAAGTTTTGAATGTTAGTGATCAAATATATTAATAGATCTTTGAGAGCAAAATAATCCATCAACAGGATTATAACAGTAACACTAAGGTTGAGTTTAAGCTCATGTTAGTCACACACAGAATCAAAATTCTGGGGTGTTGTAATAATGTCCATTTTGTTCATATTTTGATGAAGAATTTTGAAATTCATTGTCTGCCACCTCTTTTTTTCCCTCATTTCTTTTCTCTGCGGATATTCCTTTTAAAAAAAATCATTTATTTTGCATTATTCTTCTACTCAGTTACTATCTTTTGCTTTTCCCAAGTCATTAGTAAAGATGTTCTAATTTCACTGTTATATAACTTCCAGTTGAAGATATCGGTCCATCTTTCTCAATTATGGTAAACTGGATGTTCTAATATTTCCTAGTTCAGAAGTACAAAATTCATACTGTGACACAACTGAGATTCACATCTATCAAATTCATTTCAGTTTAGTATAATTTTTAGTTTATAATTGTTTTGTCAAGAATTAAGGCAACAGATATTTTAGAAGATAAATAAAATTTTTTCCATCAGATCTCATGTTCATCAGTTCCATATAGATGCCACTCTATGTTGTTTCTAAACACTTTGGACAGAAATTTTCTTTTCTGTATTTTAAGCTCAAATTATCTGAAATTTCTTTTTTATGCCTGATTGAAATTCCTCATGTAGTGGCTTAAACTACAGATTAACAAAATTCGTTCAATGTTAAGTACCAGACAGTAAATATTACTGGCTTTTTAGGCCCTACAGTCTCTCCCTGCCACTCAACTTTGCAGTTGTAGTAAGAAAGCAGCCATAGACAATACATAAACAGACAGCATGGCTGTGTTCCAGTAAAACTTTATTCGTAAAAACAGGCAGCACACCATAGTTTGCCAATCCTGACTTAAACGTATTTCTTCTCCAGTTGTTTCAGTGGGAAAGAAGATGTCATCAAAATTTACTATAGGTTTTTTTTTCATATCTTTGGAGAACTTTAATAAATTTCCTTTGCCTTTCTCAGATTACATCATTATTGCCTGATAAATACTTTTTCCAAACCTTTATTCACTTTTGCTTTGTTATCCCTTAATTTCTTTCCATGCTTCAGACCTTTTTCCTAAATATAAATGTTTATGTATCATTACTAACTCTAAGCCAAAATGTTTCTGTTCTCTTCGTTTATTCAGCAAAATTTTATTGGCATTCTACCAGGCATTGAGCTAAACAGTTTTCTATACAGTGGAAGAAGTAAACAAAACATGGTCCTTGTGGTTTTTTTATTTTATTTTTACTTTTGGAACTTTAAGAGAGATAAACGGTAATTAAGTTAATATAAATATGTCATTTAAAATAAGTGCTCTGAACAGGAAAAACTAGGTGTTGAGATTGGTGAACTTACTTTTATACTGTATGACCATGGAATGCAGAACATGAAGAGTAAGTAGAAGTTTGACAGGGCAGATTGTTTTAGTCAGAAGGTAACATTTACCAAAACTCTGAATAGGAAAGAAGGACTGTTTGAGACCTTCTGGGGCCTGGCTGATGGGAAGAGAGGCCAGAATAAGGCCAAAGAAGGGTTAAGGGAGTTTGTGTAGGAATTTGTAAGCCTTGTTAAGGAGTTAGAAGCTATTGAAACAAGAGAGTAGCATGATCTCATTAACTTGATTTAAAAAGATTGTCCCAGCTTGGCTTTCTGTTATTAGTTATTGGTATTTGCTAACTGTTCATTCATTCATCTGTCAAATACTAAATGTTTACTCTGTACAGATTAATGACCTATATACTGTAAGGACTACAAGTATGACCCTTTCCTTAAAGTTCTTACAGTCCACGGGCTAATTTTCTTGTGTTCTCTTGTTCATCTATTATTTTTTATTCCCCTTGACTTTGTGGCCTGGTAATATGTCGACCTGTCATATTAATACTTTGTATTCCTTATTTCTATAAGCCTACCAGATGTGATCCTTATTAGATAAATAACTCCATTTGTAAATTTCAATGTGAGATCAACTCTTTTGAACTCTACAAGTTATTTTTGCTTTGCTTTTGCCTCTGTCTAGAGTTCTTACGTTAAGAGATCAATTGGTTGCAGTACACTCTGTGATGATAGATAGGCTTTTTAATGTATATAATTAGAGATTAAATGTTCAAATTATCTTTTGATTCTTATCCTTCAGTTTACTGCTTGTACATTTTTAGATAATATTAACAGAGCCTCAGTAGTAGCAAGAGAACGGGTTGTAAGTAATTCTTTTCTCCTTTCCAACTCATAAAAATTGTATCTCGGCCAGGTGCGGTGGGTCACCCCTGTAATCCCAGCACTTTGGGAGGCCAAGGCGGGCAGATCACAAGGTCAGGAGATTGAGACCATCCTGGCTAACACGGTGAAACCCTGTCTCTACTAAAAATACAAAAAATTAGCTGGGCGTGGTGGCGAGCACCTCTAGTCCCAGCTACTCGGGAGCCTGAGCCAGGAGAATGGTGTGAACCCGGGAGGCAGAGGTTGCAGTGAGCCGAGATCACGCCACTGCACTCCAGCCTGGGCAATAGAGCGAGACTCTGTCTCAAAAAAAAAAAAAAAAAAAAAAAAAAGTATCTCTGTAGAGGCCATATTGGAAGGGATTATCTAAATTCAGTGATAATATATCTGTTTGGGGTTAGTTGTATCTGGTTAACATCTGACCTGAAGCCATTTGCCCAAAGGTTTAAACACTCCTTATGACAAGCTGCCACAAGGCAAGGGCATCAGATCTCTTTAGTCAAGGCAAGTTTCTCAGCCTGTATACTGATTATGTTTTGGGCTGGATAATTATTTGTTGTTGGGGCTGTCCTGTGTATTGCAGCGTCCTGGGCCTTTGCCCACTAGATGCCAATAGCATCCCTTTCCCCAATGTGGCAACCAGAAATTACCAAATGTTACCTGAGAGCAAATCCTCTTTTACTTCTCCCATCCACTATTGAAAATCAGAGTCAAGGGTCAAGGACTACAAGACACTAGAGCCCCAGCCTTTTATGAAGGCATCTGAGCAGGACATTGACTGGGTGTCTGCATTCTCTTCACGCTGAAAGAATTCCACCCCTGAATAGAGAGGCCAGCTTTTATGCCTTATACTGCTATTAAGTTTATCATTGTCTGATTTTAAAACTATATTTTAACTTAATGCTTATAATTTTAATTCTTCTCTTCTGCTGTTTATTATGTTTACTTTGCTAACTGTATTGACTTATTCTTTATTCTTCCAGTATTTATAGTTAATCTCCCTTATTGTATAATATCACAACTTTTTTATATTGTTTGTAATTTTAGCTTTTTTGATATCCTCTTGGTTGGTCTTATTTATTCTTTCATTATCATTTTGTTGCATTTTCATTATGTTACATAGAGAATATTAATAGTTTATAATATTAAATAGATCACATGGGAAATAGTCACTCCTTTATCACTTTGAATTCATGGGTATATTTATGCATTTTCTTCTTATTGAAGTTCTTGAGGTTTTGTAGAAGATATTTGAGGCTCTTGGTGTTTTCTTGTTTTTTGTTTCATCATTTAAAATTATCCACCATCTGGCACGCACCTGTAGTCCCAGCTACTTGGGAGGCTGAGGCAGGAGAATCGCTTGAACCTGGGAGGCGGAGGTTGCAGTGAGCCGAGATCGCACCACTGCACTCCAGCCTGGCAACAGAGCGAGACTCCGTCTCAAAAAAAAAAAAAAAATTATCCACCATCCCCCATAGTAGAGTGGGTGCAAACTTCTGAGGAAGTCGTTATACATGCTCGTTTCATGTTTTTCTTCTTTATACATGCTCCTGTTTCATGTTTTTCTTTATACATGCTCGTTTCATGTTTTTCTTCTTTACCTTGTGCCTTTCTTGTTTTTCTTCTTTACCTTGTGCGTTTCTTCTTGTTTCATGTTTTTCTTCTTTACCTTGTGCCTTTCCTCCTTTTCTGCAGTGATAAGATTCATGGGTGTTGTCATAGGAAGCAGTCTACTTTCTTCCTGTCAACTCAGTACTGATCATTGCAAATTAAATACTTGTATGTTCATTTAAAAACTAATTACTGGTTTTCCAAAGAAGCATCCCTATTGTGGGAAGAGATCTTTAATGGTAGTTGGAAAGTATAGTGATAAATAAAATCCCCTCTATATATTCATATATTACCTAATCTGTATATATGTAATTTCAAGACTTGTATCTGAAATAATCAAACCTAATGATTGTTTTTTTCAAGTGTGAGAACATGTGCCATTAAATATTTTCTCTTAAAAGTCAAGGAATAGTGATATGACCTATTTTTTGTGGATTAAAATCATGTGGATGAATCTTATAGGTGTAAGAGCTCTCATTTGACAGAATAAACTTCACTAAGGAAATAGCCTATGGAAAAAATTGTATAGGATACAGCAATAACTATATTAACTTACCTTATGTTCTCCAGACTTTTCTTCACAGGAATTAGAGATTTTCATTTGCTCCTTTTCCTCCTCCTGGCTTCAAATGTTTGTTGCAGAGGCAGTCTTTAAAAAGTTGTGTCTACAGAGCTCTGGCAGTGTTTCTTCTGAGCCACTCTCTCTTCAGAAAATGGTAAGTACCTCTCTATTCTGGTTCTTTACATTTTCAAGAAGTGAGTTCACAAACTCAATTTTATTTATTTAGTTATTTATTTATTTTGAGATGGAGGCTTGCTCTGTCGCCCAGGCTGGAGTGCAGTGGCGCAATCGCGGCTCACTGTAAGCTCCGCCTCCCGGGTGCATGGCATTCTCCTGCCTCAGCCTCCCGAGTAGCTGGGCTACAGGCGCCCACCACCATACCCAGCTAATTTTTTTGTATTTTTAGTAGAGACGGGGTCTCGATCTCCTGACCTCGTGATCTGCCTGCCTCGGCCTCCCAAAGTGCTGGGATTACAGGCGTGAGCCACCACGCCTGGCCCACAAACTCAATTTTAAAAAATTCTTAGTTATTTCAAGTAAGTAGGCAGAATATATTAATTCATAAATATTTCAATTCTGTATAAAAGCTAGTATATTTCTGTCTCTAATTAGAGTAATGAAAGCCAGCGGCCGTGCTGAGTGCCTGTAGGTGAGTGCCTGCAGGTGAGTGCCTGTAGTTCCAGCTACTCAGGAGACTGAGGCGGGAGGATTGCTTAATCCCCAGAATTTGAAGCTGTAGTGCATTATGGTTGCACTTGTGCATAGCCACTGCATTCCATCCTGGACAACATAGTGAGACCCCTTCTCCAGGGGCAGTGGGGGGAAGGTAATCACCAAATAGAAATTTTAAGGCCGAGCATGATGGCCCCTGCCTATAATTCTAACACTTTTGGAAGCTGAGGCAGGAGGATCCCTTGAGCCCAGGAGTTCGAGACCAGCCTGGGCAACATAGCAATACTCTGTCTCTAAAAAAAAGTTAAATTAGCTGGGCATGGTGGCACATGCCTGTGGTCCCAGCTACTCGGGAGGCTGAGGTGGGAGGATCCTTAATCCCAGGAGGTCGAGGCAGCAGTGACCTGTGATAACCACTGTACTGTAGCCTAGGTGGCACACTAAGACCCTGTCTCAACAACAACAACAACAACAACAACAACAAAGAAAGAAAAGAAAGGAAAAAGAAATTTTAATTACTTTTGAGCGTAGCCAAGGGTTGATCATAGAAAACTAAAAAATCCTTGTTTCCTAATAAAATTCCTACATAGGTTATTATTTTGGAAAGAACTAGATCCAACAAAATTCTAAATGGTATTTAAAAAGCAAAATATTATGCATATAAGCTACATTTGATTTAAAGTTTTCCAGTTTTATTTTGGCTATCTTTAGATATTAATATTTAATAATAATTATTTATTATTATTAATAAGGCAATATTAATTTAGATATGTAGATATTAATATCTATCTTTAGATATTAATATCTTTAGATATTAGTCAAATTCTGTTTTGCAACAATCCTTTAAGGATGTTTTTATTCCTTATTTTGTTTTCTGTTGAAGAAAGACTTGTTTTCTGTTCAAGGCATTATCAGAATGGAAATTACAAAATACCAGTTGTATGTAAATCATACATATAAAATGTGCAAATGAATCATACCTGTTGGGCATAAGACTAATCAAAAGAGCTTTCCTAAATGAGGATCAAAATTGAATTAGAAAAAAATAATTATTTTTAAGAAGGTGTTTTTCTGGTTGTTCACATGGTATTGACTTTGACACAAAACTAGTTTTCTTAATATTTTATTATGTTCAACCAAGATAGAGTGGCAACCATAGTGATGCAACCAAGAAAATATAACCAAATGTAATAGTGAAATGAATCAAATAATTTCTCTTTACTGCTGTTTTTGTAGTTGAGAAAATAATGCAATATTATTTTTCAACAGGTATATTCCTATTTACCAGCCTTGGGGAAAACTGGTGTGCTTGGGTCTGGAAAGATTCAGGTGTCAAAGAAAATAGGACAGCGGCCTTGTTTTGACTCTCAGAGAACCTTACTAATGCTGAATGGTACTAAACAAAAACAAGTCGAAGGGCTGCCAGAGTTACTGTAAGTGATGCTGATATCCCAGCTGTGCTTTGTTTTGGAGTACAGCTCTTTCTCTGATGCATTTCTTGAACTTAATGGTTATCTGTGATACTGTCTGAATTATACTGATTAGATCAAAACTCAATTTTAGATCTATTTGATCAACATTTTCTGTTTCTGTAATTCAAGGTACATGCTTTCTAAGTGCTTCCCAAAAGAAATAAAACTGCTCATCAAATTATTGATGAATTATTGATGAAATACAGTTCCACACAATTTTTGCCCTATGATTTGAATGACTACTTTGCCATAATATAGATGGGATTTCAGAATGCATGGTCATATGAGATATCCTGTATCATTATAGTAGTTTCCCCAAAATGAGAAACCTCTAAAAGTATAAGGTGTATAAAAGTGTATGTTGTATAAAACTCAGAAAGCCTGAAAGCTTCTGTGAGAGGAAGAAGAGAATAGAATCAGAATATGAAAGTAAGAATGGGGAGCAGAGGCCTGCTTGATCTTAGCTTTCTGCTTTATTCTCTCTGCCAAATATGGTTTAACTGGTCTTTTTCTCTTTATTTGACATTCTGTATTTATAAATTTAGTGAGCAGTTGGGGGAGTAGGACTAATAAAAGAAAATTAGTGCACTGAAGTTTGTTTCTACACAGTTGAAATAAATTTTAAAATTAGAAAGCAGTAAAGATTGAATGAGTAAGGGAGTTTAAATTAAAAGGGGGCTAGACTTTTAAAAAATACCATCTAATGTATGCTGGCACGCCTTGCTGAAAAACAAGCTTTCATTATTTCTTACTTTTCCTTTCAGAGACCTGAACCTTGCTAAATGTTCCTCATCATTAAAAAAATTGAAAAAGAAGTCAGAAGGAGAATTGTCATGTTCCAAGGAGAATTGCCCCTCTGTAGTTAAAAAGATGAATTTTCACAAGACTAATCTAAAAGGTATTCCAAGTATTTAAATTAATTTATGCTAAGAACTTTTCATGGTTATAGTCAGTACTTGCAGGTTTCACACATTTGCCCTGATGAATACTTGAACTTAAATATTGGACTAGGTCCAGGAAGTACCTTCTTGGATAACGTATTATTTTCTTGAACTGTCATTTATGCAAAGAAAGTGATTGTTTAATAACCAGTATAATAGAGTATTCTTTCCTTTTTTTCCTCTCCCTGCCATTACAGATATGAAACACAGTGTAGCATTCATTGAGCTCATTCCAGACTTGCCCGCCTTACTTTTCTATTCCATCTCAACCTGTGCTGCTTAGGATCAGTGTCTTCTGATTTGAAAGTATAATTCAGTCTTCATCTCTTTCAGTCCTAGACATTTTGTGAACAAAGAATGAAGAGTAGGCTATGTTACATAGCTGTGTTAAGCATATGGGCTCTTTTCTTCCAGGCATTGAGCCCAGACTATGAAATGTGTTTGGCTTTTGGTTCTAACTATACTGGAACCTAAGTACCTAAAGGATGAAATAACAAGAATAGCATAATAATTCACTTTGGCACCTCTTTTACTTAGCCACCTCATAACTTGTAAATGGATCTTCCAGAAGTCTATACCTGGCCAAAGTAAATTGCTGAGTCTTTTTTGTTGTTGTTGTTTATGAGTTATATCTTGTTTTTAATACAAATATTAACATTATGACACCCATGGAAATAGTGACAGTGAAGCACTTATATTTCAATGTGATATAAGTTCATAATTGCATATTACAGATTCAAAATAACTGTCCATTTGACTTGGAATATGAAAATTATATTAGATGAGAACTCAGATATTAATTTCACAAATCAGCGTTCTTTTTCTTTGTTTTATTGTTTCAGAAAGTAAAATGAATATGAATGATTTTAGGCAGAACAGCAGAAGGAACTGGGAGAGAGGAAGAGAATTGAGATATAGTAGAGAAAAACTTCAAAAGCTTTTTATGCATGTAAAAAAATGTTTTTGTAGAAGTTAGAGATAATCTGTAAAACTGAACACTGTAAAAATGTGCTACTTAGTATTTTATAGTAAGAACAAATTAGATTCAGTATTTCATTTTGTTTCCTAAGCAGTCATTTATAGTAATTTTTTTAAAATTCCCCTTAAATAATCACTTATATCTTATTAATCTTGGTTGTAACAGTGATGGATATAGACAATTTTAGCCAGAAGGCATTAATTGCGTCTCTCCTAGAAAAAACCTTGTCATTTCTATTTGTTACTCTTGTTCAGCTTTAAATGGTACTAGGGATTTTTTTTTTTTTTACATCCGTGTGTGTGTCTGTGTGTGTGTGTGTGTGTGGTGTGTTTATATTAAGATTCCTCCATTTCTCCCTCTCTCTGCTGTTGTAGCCAAGCCAGACAGCCTATTGAGAAGCAGCAAACCATCTGTTAATGGATTTGAAGTTCTGAATTATACTTGAGTGTGTAGAGGCACTCATGCTTAGCCAGAAACATTCATTTGAATTAAGCTATAAATGCTGTATAAAAAAGAGCCATACATTTAATGTAGGTTCATGAATAAATTTAAGAGAGGGCAATTGCACTCTAAACTTTTATTGCTGCAAAACCCAGTATTTTTGGTGTTCTCTGATCATTTGGGGGTTTTATAGCAGGATTGAAGCTTTAAACCTTGAACTAGGGGAGACAATGCCTGTGTTAAACCTTTTGCAGTAGAATTTCATTGCTGAATTGCTGATAGAACAGAAGCAGTATGGATTGGTGGGGGTCCTTCCCCTTCCCACCCCCCACCCCCGCCTTTTTAAATGCAGGGGATGTTTAAACCAGTCAAAAGAAGAACTCAATAAATAAATTTCTGGCATGGGGCCAGATCTCCTAGTTCATGCCCTTTGATTATTTTTTTTAGTTGATATCTTGTCTTCTCTGGAATAATCTATTAATTTTTTATGGCAGGAGAAACAGCCCTGCATAGAGCTTGCATAAATAACCAAGTGGAGAAATTGATTCTTCTTCTCTCTTTGCCAGGAATAGACATCAATGTTAAAGGTAAGTTTTAAATCTTTGTGGTCTAGTCCAATGTCTTAATATTTGTGATATTAAACAGTTTTATATCACATTAAGAAAAATTATTTAAGTAAATTTACCTAAGGTATCTTAAAAGTATAAGAAAAATTTCTTAGCAAAGCCAAGAAATTTCTCATATATTGATTTATAACTAATGGTATAAAAACATTTTTTGGTGTCCATATTTTGATAATACCCAACATTAATATTTTAAAATTGTTTTTATTTTAATTTTTTAAGGTAGAAATATGATTACACCCTAGACATTTTTATCACAGCATTCTTTTTGTATATGAAGCACCTAGAAAGTCACACTGATGAGAAAAGTAGAACATCAGTACTTTTCTACCAAAAGTCCTACTTCTGCTGTTTTAAAACTTGCCTTGATTTCTAATTTAGACAATGCTGGCTGGACGCCTTTGCATGAAGCCTGTAACTATGGCAACACAGTGTGTGTCCAGGAAATTTTGCAACGTTGTCCAGAGGTAGATCTGCTCACTCAAGTGGACGGGGTGACTCCTTTGCATGATGCACTGTCAAACGGACATGTAGAAATTGGCAAGCTGCTACTACAGCATGGGGGTGAGTGTGTTTATGCTAAATGGGTTTTGATAAATTATCCAGTTTTTTGATGAATCCTGCAGAGGTAGATAGCATTTTATGTTTAAAATCTGTAAGGAAAGATGCCTTTATTTCATATTAATGAAAAAGTAAGGATAAAAAGTCTCCTAAAACGTAAGCACCTTTTATTATTAGAGATAAAATCCTTTTCATAATGTATATTTGTTTATGTATATATTATTAAGCCTATTTAGGTTCGTGTATGAGAGTCTGTTTTTGAATTGAGTTTGCTGGTTTTAAATATTTATCTTTTTCCTTCAGGTGTGTAATGTCTTTGTGAGCCAGTCATTTCTGAAAGCTTATTGATAAATGGATATAAATGTTCAATTGTGATTACCTGGATTTTTTCATTTCCTGTATGTAACTACAAACTCAATCTTATTTTTAATGAGTCATTTCTGTACAGACTGTAAAAAAATGATATCCTAGAATATTTTTCGTCATTCACATTTTGCAGCCAATTAAGTTAAAGCAGGAGGATTTTCAAATGGTGATAACTGTTATGCAGGGGTTTTGTGAAGGAGGTAACTTGAGCTGAATATTCATCTGCGTTTTTCCTGCTGATTTTTGATCTTTGCTTTCAGCAAGGCCCCACATTATTTCAGTGTCATTCTTCTTATATCTAAACTGAATAATATAAATTTTACAACAAAATGTTCAAAACGGATTGGTGCTTTTAAAAGAAAAAAAGAAAACTGATGACCAGCTTAGAATATGGAAACAAAGATTTGTAGAAATTACTTGTCGTTTTTATTTGTATTAATTTTACATTTAAATTTAACATTATCTTATCCTGTAATTAAAACATTTGATTGTGCATAAAGACAAAAAGCGTATTTTCTTAAGATGTCTTTTTAGTATATATGCATCTAAGGAAGGCTGTATAGCATGGGAGTTTAAGACATTTGGTTATATATAGTCTTCTCCTGCCCCCTAAAGGCCTTAGTGTGTCTGTTTTACTGATATCATTTCATAGTCAATGTTTTTCAGTTCTTCTACCTTGTTTTTTTTAGTATTCTGTGTTTACTAAACCATAAGTTCTACCTCCTTAATGTTTTATTTTTCTACTCAGCCGTGTGTCTGGCATTCAGGCCAATATTTGTTAGGAGCCATTATTGTATTAGGTCCAGCTCTTCAGTAGAGTATGGCATTATACCAACCAATGTGAATTTTTCTAGGGCTCTTAGTGGAGAATAGTAAAGAGATGAGTTTCTCCTCCTAGAAGAGGAAATCTAATTGTTTTTGTTTTTATCAAGGTCCTTTGGCAGTCGTACAGACTTGTTTCTGCCTTAGTCATATTCTGGGTTTGGACCTGTCAAGTGGTTTGACACTTATATTGAAGTAACTGCATTATCTATTCATTGTGAGTCACTCAGCCTCAAGAGCAATAATTTCAAGAATTTATTTATTTCTCTAAAACGTTTGTTTACTTTTGGTATCCTGTGTCCGTAATTTTGTCTTTTTTTTTTTTTTTAAACAGAAGTAACTTGGAACAATTTTTTTGAGATGTTGGCACAGTGAAAAGGAGCCTAATTTTGTTTTAGAATTATCTTCTTTCCATAAATTATACATTAATCATATTATCAATGGTTGATCTTTTATATTAAGTACATTTTATATCTATGCTACTATGTATGTCTGATCAGAGTCATCATTATGAATTTTAGCAGTTATAATCAGTTCTCTCTTTCTGACAATATGATCTATGTTATAATTGTAGGACCTAGTGATTATGTCTGCTAGTACTAAAATCTTTATATCCCCTGTAACGTTTTTATGGCCAAGTGCATAAATAATTATAAGACTTGACTGATGAAGGCAAAAGTACTCCTATACTTTGCTATGTAACCAAATACTGAGTTATGTTTTGCCTTCTCCACATCATCCTTTAGTACTTAGTGGATAAACTCTATCTTTAGTACTTTCTAAGTAGGTAGTTAAATGAGTTTAACTAGTATAGATGGATGAGATCTGAGTTTGATCTAGAAGAATTAATATGTAATTTGTGTGAACCAGTTACCTGTACTAAACATTGAACACAAGCAAGGGTAATATGAAAACTGTTCTCTATCTGTGCAAGGTTTTGTAGTCTTTGCACTGCTAGAATTGTTTATTAGCAATGAAAGGGGCACTACTTTTTCCTCTTGGTGATATTTTGAGATACCCCTGAGGCTCTTGTATAGAATTTATAAGATGAATAATACATTTTTAAGATTTCTTCTGGGAACACTGAAATTCTTATTTTAAAATGACAGTTGATAAAGTTTTATAAAAGTTTTTATTTGTAGTTGTATTTATTATTTATTTAACGGAGGCATGCACGTTTGGGGAAACCTTATTAGGTAATTGACTAGAATTTTTTTAATGTACCTTTATTCGTCTATATATATAGTCAGTTAATTGTGTCGACATGAATTAATACAAAATATGATTGCAAAGAAAGCACTGGATGCTTTGGGAAAAAGGAGAAAAGAGCTGTTAAGCTGCCAAAATAGAAATGTTTTACTTGCAACATTTTGCATTTTCTTTTCACAGGCCCAGTGCTTTTACAACAGAGGAATGCTAAGGGAGAATTGCCCTTGGATTATGTGGTTTCACCTCAAATCAAAGAAGAACTGTTTGCTATTACAAAAATAGAAGATACAGTGGAGAACTTTCATGCACAAGCAGAGAAACATTTTCATTACCAGCAACTTGAATTTGGCTCCTTTTTACTTAGTAGGATGTTGCTAAATTTTTGTTCAATTTTTGATTTATCTTCAGAGTTCATTTTAGCTTCCAAAGGGTTAACTCATCTAAATGAACTGCTTATGGCTTGTAAAAGTCATAAAGAAACCACCAGTGTTCATACTGACTGGTTACTGGATCTTTATGCTGGAAATATAAAGACATTGCAGAAACTCCCACACATTCTTAAGGAACTGCCTGAGAATTTGAAAGTGTGTCCTGGGGTACACACTGAGGCCTTGATGATAACATTGGAAATGATGTGTCGGTCAGTCATGGAGTTTTCATGATGATGCTAGAAAGTATGGATTGACTTTCTAAATCTGTTCAGTTTGCATTGGTACTTACTGTGGACTTCATAGCTTACTGACAGATAGTAATTTGATTTATTTATTGACAGACTTTGCAGCCTTGCTAAATTTTAAAAGCATTTTTAAAAAAACTTCTACAAAACTCTAGTATGGGCTTCTGACTTTTTCCAGGGTGTAGAATTTGACTCAAAAGTAAAAATAATTTTGTTTTAGTATATTCTACTTTCATTAATGTTTTTTTGTTCTGAAAGTGATATTATATTGTACATGTAAAATTAATTTAAATATTTTTTCAAATAAAAATGTAATGTCCTGTATTCTAGATGTTCTAGGTCTTAGAATCATGGCAAGCATATTCATACAAATGCGTACCTATAAACTTGTAGCTCCTGACTCTTAGGGATGGATTTTGAGGAAAAAACAAGACTAAACAAAAACATGTAGCTCCCTATTTCTTCTCTCTAGGTTGTTGGACTGAAATATGCATTTTAGCTTTGTGTGTTTCTAAAATAAACATTTCTAAAATTTACAGTAATAATTAATATTCTTTTGGTTTTTAAATGCAGCAAATATGCAGAGTCTGACAGTTCAATTCCTTGATCTGTTTTATTTTAGCAATTCATATACAAAATGTATCTGTCGCTGCCCTATGTAACCCAGTATTCTGTACCTGAAAACATTCTGCTGCATAGGTTTATGAGTTTAATATTAAGATATTGAGTGGCATCTAAGTAATAGATTTGAGATTATTTAAGATCTTAATATATAGTATGAATTTACTGAGTAGTAATGTTTTAATTTGCAGTTTTTCCTTATAGCAGTTTGTAGTAAAACTAAAAGAAAGGGTGTGGATAATAACCACTTTTGAGATTGGAGTTTCTTCACTACTGGGAGTAAGTTACATTATGATACAGGTGGAAAATAAACACTTCCATTTAGCTTTTATGTAATTCAAGTGATGACCTTAGCAGTTAATCTGCTAAAGCAATACACTTCAGTTTTATTTTGGAAATAGATATTTTAACAAGATACAAATGCTCAGTATCATATTACTGGGTTTGTAATCTAAATTGAAAACTGCTATATCAGTATGAAAAAATATTTTAAATAAGTACTTTTTCCACACATACTCAGGAAATACTAGTTTCTATTTAGCCTTCAAATTTGGCATCATACAAATCTCTTTATTATTAATCTGCCAAAGTATCAGACAAAAAATGATATAGTGAAGACTATCTAAGAAGAGTTTAAATGCTTATAGAGAGTAAAGTGCTTCTCCAGATGATGAATAAGAACGTTTTTTATTCCAATGAGTACCTCTTTACTTCACTTGTAAAGGTGTCTGGGATAGTGTTTGCTTGGTAAACTAATATAAACTTGTAAACATAGGCTTTGACATCATACACATTTTCAAATCCTTGTCTAGTTTCTTAATAACTAAATTGCAAGGCAAATTCTTTTCTGAGCTTTGGCTTTCCTACATGTCAAATAGAAATCACACCAGGTATCTTTGTCATGATAGAATTGTTAGCATATCACATCATATGACACTTAATAAATATTATTTCCTTTCTAATTCTTACCTCCTCTTTTGATTATAATGAATCATTTAGACAAAAGGCAATATAGTAATTGTTTAAGTTGGTAGTAATTCTAAGGTAATTAAGGAATCAACATCATGAGTTAGGGTTTTATACTGTTAGTACAAAGTAGTTTTCCAAATTAGATGTTCATAACGTATATTTGTTTAATTGCAATTAGCATTAATATTTCATAATTGACTGCTCTGTCTGCCAACTTCTACAAGCAGTGATGACATGAAGTGTGAAACAGATGTCACTGAGGTCTCTGCCTTTAAGAAGTTTTACACTTCTTCGAAAGTCCAACGTGGCAAACATAGGTTACTGTGTTCTGTGCCCTGGCTAACAATACCAGTATATGAGTATGAATCTAAATGTTCAGGAAAAGGCTTCATTCCCAAAATTACTTCTTATACTTTATTTTAGAAAACATAATAATAATTGCCTTGAATAATTGCCCAAATCTATCTTGGAGGTATAGGAAGAAGAAATTCTCAATAAGTAAAGTATAATTCATAGTCTTAGTCCTAGATTTTCAATGGCAGACTTTTCAAAGTTGCATCTGAAGACAAGGTTGAGAAATGCTATTCTTCACTGTATTTTGCCAGATGTGATATCATAGTTCTATGGAATCATATTTTTTAAATTTCTGTAAGAGACCTTATTACAATGTAAATAAAGCTGGAGAGGAGATTTCTGAGCAGTTAAGATTCAGCTTTTCCCCATGCATTGTTTACTGGCAGTTTCTTAAATCTCTTTGAAGTTAGAGTTTTCTAGGTTGTTAATTTTTAATTTCACTTTGCAGAATAAAATCATCCAAGTATATACATATTCTGTCATTTTATTCATTCCAAGATGACCAGAAAAACATTTATCCTCATAAAAGTCAAATGTGAAATTAATTCCTTTGAATTCAGCATTTCTTGAACACCTACTCTGAACCAGGTGGTGTGCTTGACAAGGGCTAACTACAAAAAAAGAGGAAAGGCCCACAGTCTAGGAAGGTAAATAAGGCTTAAGTATTGTGAATTTTATTGTCTTCTACATCTGCTAAAAAATTAATTTCAGTAATAATTGGTGTTCTGTTTTAGTTTATAAATGTGAATATTCAAGTGTCCAGTACTTTAATCCTTTGATGAGTATTATTTTAGCAATTTTATTTTAGAGTGGATAGGGTGTAGGGTGTGCTTTTGCAGTCTTAGTATTTTTAAGCAAGCACAAATGCATTACACTAAGATACTTTATATAACCTCCAGAAAATATCTGCCATTTTTGTTTATGCTGCTATAGAAAGTTAATTAAATGAATACCTTCACATGAAAAAAATATCCATGGAATGTGCAATCCTTATGCCTTTATACACCTTTCCAGTTAAGCGGTGAACTTGATGAGAGCCTGTCACTGTTGCTCCTTAATCAGTAGGAAGGGGTCATCTTGAGTGACATGAGGCACTCTTTCCCTGAGGCATTTATCACGTAGCTTTCACGCCAATTGCACCTCCTGCTGACGTGGAGCTTGCAAAACTAGGAATGATAATTGTTTTTATGACAAATGTGGATTGAGTTAGAAAGGTCAGTGATAGCGTTATTAGAATTAAGCTCTGCCTGGTGTTGTCAAAACAGGAGACATGGAATTGTTAACTATTCCTTGTAAATCAAATTATGTTATCAGAAAATTCACCTTGTAGGTTAAAATGAACTGTAGTTGGAGAATATACTTTGGTAGTTATTTGTTGTGATATATATTTTGAAATTATTATAGGCTATAAATTAATTAGAAAAGGTTGAAGTGTTGTTTTACTTGGCTCTGAGTATACATTTTCAAGGTAAGGCAAATCCTACTCAAAGAAGACCTTTTCAAAGGAAATAAAACATTTTTAACATTATTGATTATTAGATGTTTAAAAAGTTTGTCCTCTTAAGTACTTATCTTACAGAACATCTAAAATATGTACAAGCTGTTCCTAATACTTTTTATATTTGAATGTATTACTATGTCTTTTTTAGTGTAAGTATATAGTTTTGATTATAAATACACTTGAACTATGTTTTTTAAAAAGCTTGAAATACAATCCTTAGTACTAGATATAAGTGATTTTTTTTTTTAGAATGTTAATACTTTTTGTTTTTCAAGAGATGATCCCTCCCACCCCCTTTTTAAAACAGAAGTATAATGAACTCTGTTCTGGGTTTTTTAACTACTTGCAGAGTTAAAGATCAACAATATTAAGTCAGCAAAGTGACTATTAAACCATATTTCTAACAAAATATGCAGTATTGTTATATATGTAATATATCATATTGCCTTTAACAAATATAGACCCCAAAAGCCCTTATTCAAGTATTTATAAATAGTTATTTCCAATTAGAATTAAAACATATACTTCCAAATTAGTCATTTTTGTATCATGGCCCCAAATCTTTTTAGATGTAGAACCCAGATTTGGTAGATCTAATCCTCTTCCTTGCCAAAGTATCTGAGTTGGATCAAGTGAACGTTAATGTATTATGGATGTTAAACATTAATAGAGAATGGCTCACTAGTTTGGGACATACAATTTCATTCTACCAAAGAGTAGAAATTTAAACAAAAAACAAAACAAAAGGTTTAGCACTTCCAAAAAGTCAGGTGCGCTGAACTGAAAATCTGGAATCCAGGTTTGAATTTATACCTATCATACTGTCGTTTATCTTGATAGTAGATGAACTAAAATTACCACTGCTTCTCTATTCTGTCTCAAAGTGAAATAAATAGTAATATTGAAAAATCATTAATCTTAAAGTGTTGACAGATGAAAATAACTTAGTTTGTTGTCAGTGACTTCTCAACCTAAAGGTTAGGTCAACAGTGGTTTATGTCATGACTCTTAATAAATTTTTCTAATGACCAGAATAGTTTGATTTATGATAGTTTTTTTGTTTTTGTTTAAAGGAATATTTATCTTTGTTATCTGGCTTCATCCTAAAGATGCATTTTTCTACTTTGCATTCATTCCTTTTTATATTAGAGATAAAATTACCGAGCAATAAGTAAAATCTGGTAAAATTAAAATATGTGTTTTAAGGAATTTTCCAGGAAAACTTAAAAGCAGAATTGTAAAGGTGAAAACTGGACAAGGGGATGAGGGGAAAAATGGTTAAGAATCATTCTGCTTAAAGGAATCCAAAGGGTAAAGATTTCTAGGTACTGTTTATTATATTGATGGAACTTAATGAAGGTATAAAATCAGACAAGCATGTAGACTAATCTCAGAAATAAACTGGGTCTTTGAAATTTTTGAATAATATTCGATAAACTAAACCAAAGGTCCAGATAATTGTTTTATAGAAGGTTCTTTTGGTCGAAATTCAATTTAATCAAAAATAAAGAATAATAAAATTCCAGTTCTAATGGTATCAGAAACAGGCTAGATTTTTTTTCACTGTTTTTTAAAAAACAATTGACACATAATAATTGTACATGTTTATTAGGGTACAGTGTGATGCTTCAATACATGTGTACATTGTATAATGATAAAATCATGGTGGTTAACATGTCATTTATCTTAAACCTTTCCAATTTCTTTGTGGTGATAACGTTCAAGACCCACTTTTCTAGCTATCTTGAAATATAATACATTGTTATTATCTGTAGTCGCCCCACTATGTAATAGAACATCAGCACTTACTCTTCTTAGTTCATCTAACTAACTTTGTAGCCCTTCAGACCATCCTCTCCCCATCTTTGCCTTCCCTCCCTTTCCCTTCCCAGCCTCTGGTAACCACCATTCTACTGTCTACTTCTATGAGATCACCTCTCTTAGCTTCCACATGTAAGTGAGATCATGTGGTATTTGTCTTCCTGTGAGAAAAAGGTTGTTTCGAATAGTAATACTCAGTCCTTTCTCACAGGCAAATCTTGACTCATTTCTTATTTTCCTGTCATTTCAGTTCTTTTACACTCCCAAAAATACTGTTAAGTTCCTACATGTTACTGGAGGAAATGGACTCAGAGAGTTGAAAGCTACTTATTAAAAGTGGTTGGACCTTTTACCTAAATATCATTTTTTACTAATATTAATATTTTAAAATTGAAACTAAATGTTATTAAAAAGGATCTTCTCAGCCAGACATGGTAGCACATGCCTATAGTCCCAGCTATTTGAGAGGCTGAGGCAGAATGATCACTTGAGCCCAGGAGTTCAAGGCCAACCTGAGCAACATAGCAAGACTCTTTTAAAAAAATAATAACATAAATATATCATCTAAATTACATAAGGAAAAAGATTGTAAGTAAAAAATTGCTTATAGTGATTGTCTTTATGTGAAAAAATTTTGGATCTTTTTCACCTCTCCAGGTTTCTTTGTAATGATTTGTATTTGTTTATAATACCAGTATCCAATTTATTTTGAAAGTAATGCTCCTGATTTAAGTAAGAATCAGTCCTTGAAATTTTTCTAAAGTTGCCTTATTTAAACTGGCACCTACTGGATTTTTAAAAGGTAAATTACAGTTTTAATATACTATTTAAAGTTGGATATAATTAAAAGTATAATTAGTATTATCTAACACAGATCTCAAAAAATACACTATACATGTGCTCCTTTTTTCAAAGTGAATCTGACCACTTTACTGATATGGTTCTCTACTCTTTAAGACACTTCAAAATGGAGCCCCAAGTATGCTGAAGTGGGAACTGGGGGGACTTTACTCTTTTGTAGTACTCTTAAATTGCTAAAGATTAAACTTGCTCATGTGGATACTATGTGGAGTCATAACATATCTTTACTTTGTGATTTTAGTATTTATGGGACCTGAAGAATTACTTGTTCTCTAGTGAGATTTTTCAGATACGACACAGAAAAGCAGGGAGAAACTGGTAAGATTAAATGATAGCTACATTTATTCAAAGATTGTACCTTAAATGGCTTTGAAAGGATACTACTGTATAAAGAATTTTTTTCTTCTATCATCACTCTGAAAAAATATCCACTTTATAACTTATTATTTGCAACATTAATGCAGATACAAACAACCCTCTGTTGAGAGAATTCTGAGAGTGTCTTACCACAGCTCTCCAGAGCATATTATTTTGCACCTCTTCTGTGAAGGCCGGCAAAATAGCTTCTTGAAAGGTACTCTTTTAAGTAGTACAACTCAGAACAATCTTTTTACAGTTGTGTTTTGTATAAATATCCTGGATACCTACATGGTAACTATAGTACAACCTGATAGTATCAATCTGTTTTTAGGGGGAAGATTTCTTACCTACCGGTCAGGGCTGTTGTCACAGTTATGGGAGGGAAATCAAGTACATATGCATTAAATGTACTATGTATCAAGTACGTAGCATCATAGTGTGCAAGATTGGATGGTGAATACTTGGTACCCCCAATCCATAAGTCAGAGTATTTTGCTTTTGCTTAAATTACCAAGCGCTGTATGTTTTGATTTTTAAAAAAAGTTTTTCTCTTACTTCTGAAAATGAATGTTTTTAAAAGTGATGTTAAGCAATTTCACACAAATAATGGAACATCACATTAATCTGTTTAAAAACTCCTTTGTCAGATATGTATAGTGTTTTCTGGATGGCTTCTCGTGTGCTTCAAAGACCCTCTTATGTTTGCTAGGTTCTCTGTTAATGGAAACTGAAGTTTGTAAGAGTTTAAGGCCAAACGTAAGAGGTAGGTATACCATTGTGTTTTTTTGCTCAGAAATTGTTAACTACTTCCTCTATTATAAAACAAAGATGACAAAATTACATACTCCGCCTTGTATAATAGCAAATAGACACTTCTTTGTAAAATTTTTCCAAGAGCTTATTAGTTCTTGACACCGATAAATTGTTTTCCATGGTTGCAGTGTTACAAGGTACACAGAGATTTTGACTTTTCATAATTACTACTATAGAAAAGAAGAATGTTTTGTGGGGCATGTAGTTATAAGGTTTCAGTTCTCTGATAGCTTTATTAAAAAGGGTTCTTTGAGCTTGGGACAAATATGTCATTTCCTTCCCCTCATCTCTCTTCTGTGGTCCAGCTGTCTCTAACAATGCTTGACTATTCTCAGGTGTCTCCAGTAATGCAAAAGGCAAGTATGAGTAGTGAGGGCCAGGTGTGCTTTTTCTATGAATTTAGCATTTCCTCCAAACCTGTCACCATTTGAACTCTGGCAAAATAAAATCCCTCAAATGGACTCAAGCCCTTTTGAGCTTGTCTTTGACTAGAAAGTGAAACTGAACCTATATTATCATCTTTCTTCACTAGTGGGAGCAAGTTCCCACTAGCAAGTGGGAGTGAGTTCCACTCAGCCAGGCCTCAGGATCTCCTTAAATGTATTCCTCCAGAGAAAAGATAGTTTTCAGGTTCACTCATTGGTTCAGGTTGGCCACTCCTTTTCTCTTTGGAAGGAACATTGAAGAATCTGTAGTAGGGGATAATTGCACTGCAATTTTAATTTTGCTACATACTGAAAAAACGTAGGCACGGCTACTTACGTAAACCATTTCCGCTTTCCTTGAAACAAATCTTTCTGCCTAATATAATAAACACTTAATTGACTAAAGCAGAACAGCAGTGTATTTTACTTTGTAAAAAATGGAGTAATAATTTTTCAGTGACATTTGGAGGTACGGATAATCATATAAATTTAAAAACCTGTCTTTACAAAAATACTGCTTGTGCATGTAATAGAACACTTCTTTTGTATGGGTTTTTGGTGGTTTTTTTGTTTTTTTCTTTTTTTTTTTAAGCTTAGAATGTCAAAGAAGAGCCCAATAAATTGAAACTCATTTGAGGTCAGTTACAATATTTGATTGTTTTTATTTTTTGATTCTTAACCCAGATCCCTCCTTTGAAAAGCACAGATAGAATCATTAAGTTCCAGGAAACCTTTCATGGTGCTCTTAGTTTCTACATTGTATGATTGCTTTGGACATTTGATAGTTTTTATTTGCATACTATTTTTTAATGAGATTTTTCAATAGTATTTCTCAAATTTTAGCCATTCAGCTGAAGTAAATCTTATGTGACTGCCTCTATTCAAATTGCCACTATATAAAAGAAACTGAGGTACCAGAGGGTAACATTTTCACCAAAAAAAAAAGAAAAAAAAATGTTTTGTTTTCTTTCAGTGAGTTACACCAATCATCCCAGGAAAAAGAATTATAATTGAAAGGAATGACACTATTGTAAGAAAGAATTTACCACATTATTTTCTATGTGGTTTTAATTCATACTTTACTGAGCAATTAGAAAAGGCTGATTCTAGATACCCTAATCAAACCAACGAATAGACATCATCTGTACACTCACTCACACTAGAGTGTGAAATCACGCTATTCATTTAAAGCCCAAGAATTTAAGCAAGTATTAATTTAGCAATACCTGAGACGTTTTTCAAGAAGTATAATGGTAGCTGTCTTTACTTGTATTTCTGGAGCAAAAAGGTATAACTGCCTTATACCTTTTTGTTTGTTCTTAATGCTTAGTCAACATTATAAACATTTAGGCCCATTTAACAAGTTTATTCGCTGAAATTACTGCCTTTGAATAACATTAATACAAATGTAGACTACTTTGAGCATAGGAGACCTTAGATATGAGATCAAAGTGGAAAAAAAGCTCCTGTGGTCCCTAGATAAGCATTTACTTCTGAGTTTTTCTTCACTTTTAAATGCAGAATAAAAATTTTATAAAAGATAATTTTAGAAATGTATCAATTAAATTTGGCTCTCACTGTACTTCAACTCCAGATTTGATTTTAGTATACAATCATTGGTTTGACCGTTGTCTATAACAGGGTCATACAGTTGGTATTCGATAAATATATCACAGAGTCCTTTTAAGAATCTCCCAACTCAGATTATCCTAGTGCATATAGAATGTTCAAAAACTGATTGATTGATTGATAGGTTCTGTAGGAATTCCAGTTTTTGAACATTCTATATGCACTAGGATAATCTGAGTTGGGAGATTCAATCAATCAATCAGTTTGAGTCTGGAACAGTACCAGAATGAATGAGAAGTACTATTATGTTCTTTTTGATAAGTGGGGAAAAATTTAAAAGCACAAATACGCATTTCTTATGAATTATCACAACGAATGTCAGTAATAGTTTATGAATATAAATAATGACTCAGTGAATTTACTCACTAAAAGATACTAAAGGAATATATTTAGTAGTTCACAATATCTATAATAGTTAGCAGTCCAAGTAGATGTTTGAGTGACATTCAGTCTCTTAAGAAATATTTACATCACAGATCTCAAAATGAAGGCAAGTCAGGCAGCTCTCAAGACAGAATTGCAGCTATGTGAGAAGGGGAAAGAAATAAATAGTTAAAATTTTAACTATACATATTCTGTTTTCAGCCTGTGAATGTAGTAGTTTCTAAAAGCAATGAAGATTTCCCTGAATATCACTTTTGTGCCTCAAGCTAGTTCTTATTCCTCTGTTAATGTCATTGGTTGCTCACCCCTCCAGAGGTATTTTCATATAAGAGTCAGAGTTTCAGGAAAAAGGTCTTATTTGTTTAAACCAAATCTGTTTTTCTCCAAGTGACATATAGTTTTTAAGAATATGCACACAATCCCTCATCAATCTCTGAACCACCAAAAAAAAAAAAAAAAGGAGTGCTGATTATACGTGGGAAAGATTATTTTCTTTTGTATTTAATACAGTGAATGTGTAGTCAGCATTACCATTGAACTAAACATCTGAAATTTGATACAGTGAAACAAATTAGTCATCTGTTAATGGTTACTATCCACTAGATACATCTGAGGTTGTAGAATATCAGGCTTATAGACATTTGAGTACACATTGTCAGCACAGAACATAAAAGTCTCACATAAGGTATAATTGAAAGTTATTTCAAACAGTTATCTCATCAATAAACTTTCTGTAGTAACATCATGTTCATGGAACATTATGTTTTTAGCAACAAACAGTGATGGTATGCAGACAGAAGCATGTCATTTTAAACATGATACATTAAATAAAGCATGTTGAGGTCAAAGCCTTTCTGTAGAAAGGGAATTTAATTGACATTCAAGCATAGTATATAAACAGATCAAAATAGTTCTATTATAAGAAATAGTATTTAACAACTTATCTCTAAAATAAAAATACTTTAAAAATCAGCTTCAATGAGATTACATTTATTGTTAAAGAATCTTCCTTTAGAGTGAAATATACATTTCTTTTAGCTTTTCTATAGTTTTTCCAGTATAACCCCCACTTTTACCCCATCCAAGTTTATTATTAATAAAGTAGTGCAAAGCATTGTCTGCTGCAATTTCAACTGAGTGTAGTCCCCTACCAAGTCAGGGAAGTAAGACATTCTCAACCAACCAAATTATTTTTTCTCCAGAGTTATGCTCCCTTAGTATACCAGGGAGTGAGATATAAAAACTACTTTAAGAGTCTTGGGAATGCAATTTTTAAGTATAGATTCTATGATAATAGTGAAACATTGATAAAGGCAACCACCACCCCCAAGCAGTTTATTTTATTTTACAAAACAGGTTTTCATGCATAATCAAGAATGATTTTTTTTAATAAATGAATGTAGTGAAACACTGGCATATCACTTAGCACACTGAATTCTCTACATTAAAATTCACACTAATAACAAAATCATAGTATGAATTAAAGCATTTCAGTAATCTAATGAGAAAGCAGGTTTTTTTTTTCTCTGAGAGCACTTGAGTATTTATTAAAATATTTTTAGATGCACAGATACAATCTGACACCAAAAGCGATATGGATATAGTTTCCTAGTATTTTTGATAACTGTACTTACTGGGTTGCTAATTTGCTAACTAACTGTATAAATTAAAGTAGTGGTAGGTATAAAAATTCAGATAGGCAATCGTTTATAAACTGGCAGTATTTATGTTATGTAGTCCTGTAGAGATTTTAAGGTTTTAGATGGAATGATTGATTGAAATTCTATAAAGAAAACTTTGTAACCTTCTGAGTATTGATTCTCTTGAGGGAGTGAATGTACCTTCACTTATTAGCTTAAAATTAGCCTAAGTCATACCTAAGTAATTTGCACAGGAGTGAATGTCGGGATCTAAAGCCAGAATATATGTTAAATTGAAATGTATCCATTCCATTATTCAGGCTTTGGAATTTCCCTCCCTTTTGAAATGTATAAAACATAGAAAAGTGTAATGGATTACTTTTCAGATAAAAAATAGTCGCATTAAAAAAAAACTTTAAAATCAAATCGACATTTACAATTGATGTAGATTTAATCAGAGCACAGGTGAGTATTTAATCCACTAGTAATTAGATAAGAATATATCTTCCAGTGTTATCATTCTTATATTTGTTCTTTCAGTGTGTTATATTATTATCCACAGCTAACAAGGTTTTGACACAGCAGTAGCAAAACCTTTATCAAGTTGAGTCTGTACAATAGAAGTATATATTCAAAGACATATGCCTTTGTACACTATTTACAGATTCTCTCGATCATGATAAAAAGGCAAAATAAATAAAAAGCAGAAAGAAAGGAAATGCTGCTGAGGCTGAGGGCTTTTTCTTTTATCTTCCCAAACAGATGCTGGTCTCCTCAGTGCTGGGAGCTGGCTAGCCAAGATTGTTTTTCTTTCTTTTATATGGGCTATGAGAAGGATCTGGTTTCAGTTCTTGGTATTGCACCTGTTTAAACAGAGTTCAGAGGAAGACTGGTCAGGTGGCCACTTTCTGGCAAAGAAAGGAACAGCAAAGGAATGAGAGACGGTGCTTGGGGGAAGAAAGTGCTCACTCTAGAAGCTGTATGGGATCTGCAGCTGAGATGCAGAAAGCAATAGAATGACAGAGCAAGAATAAGGGAAATCCTGTTGGAAAGTACATGGGGCCCTGATGTGAACTTTAGTAATGGTATTCACTGTCTATAACACATTACATTAAAAGTAAAACCATCTACATCAATTTTTTAAAGGGCTCGATAATGGTTTTTTACAATTTATCGTGTGTTTGCTTAATACAGTCTTAATCTCCATCCAGCCCACTGTCATGTCATAGCAAATGAAAAAGGTATCACTGTAACCCAGCTTCAGGATTTAAAAAAAAAAAAACAAACTTCTTTTATTTTGAAAACAGCTGATGGTTAATGGGCATTAACCTCAAAGGATTTTTGAGATATGCTCCACTCTTCAAAAAGCAGTCAGCTTTCCTCTCCTCATTGATCTCCAAAATATACTTCTTCAAAACTTACTTGTAACTCTTGCAAATTCTGGAAAGACTTTTTTTTCTTAAATGTCCACTGGCATATTTTGCTTTCATCATCTAATATTCCTGGTTTCCTCCCCTCAGGTCATACTCCCTGTCACAAACTCCAGCTGAACTAACTTGGAGGAGGATCTTCCCTGACAGCTCTGGTAGGTTCTTTATGCAACTGCTCTTTCTCCCATTCTCTGTAAGTGCTTCTTGGATAACACCCCAGGTGGGCTAAATTTCTGACTGGTAAAATCTGCTACACAGGCTTTATTAATTTTTACTCAGCTCTTCTAAAGCCTTTGAAATTAGAAGGATATAAAAGCTAAAACCCCATGCCACACTACATTAAAATAATAGCAATAATAATAACGAAACCTACATACCACTTGTACATCTGAAGGGACTCTGGAAAGGAAGTCAAGTAGTTCATTGTTATCAATTGCATATGGACTCCGAAGCTTTTTTGTAAATTTATTGATGCCTGAAACAAAGTTGGAGTTAAACAAAGCACATTTCTGACAAAAGTGTTGTAGTAATTTGAAGATCTAACTTGTATGCCTTGACTCAATGAACCAATACACCCAGTTTTTTCCCCCTCTTCCTCTTTTTCTCCTTCATTTCTTCCTCCTTTCCAGCTCAACTGCTTTTTTTACTTGTACCTTAGTAGCTTCTTCCAAGCAGGAAAGGCTTTCTATGTGGGAAATAAAGGAGCTGCCCTGGGGGTTAATTAGCAATATCTTGGTTTTTTTTCCCCCTGTGTTACAGTCTACTTAGAAGCCTTGCTTTAGTGTTTCATTTATGATGAAACTTGCTTTCCTACTTTTTGGGTTAAGATTGTTAAGGCAAGATGTCTAACTTATTTGGTTTCCCCTTTTCCAAAAGATGCACCTTTTTGGAGGTGGGGGTGTGTGCTGCTGTTAATGCCAGCTAAATGTTTAGAAGACACATGATGTTTATTTTTTTCAAACCTGAAATGAAAAGATTTGCCCCCAACTTTGTAAAAATAAATAAATAAATAAACACCTTTACATGAAATCAACAAACTGGTAAAAACTGAGCCATACACTGGAGCATCTTGGCTCCTCTTCAGGGAGTTCATGCAGAATAAACTTCTGGAATCTTGATTTTGGTCCATCTCCTCATGTAAGACCTATGTCTTAAATTTCTGGCTAATATTTCAGCAATCACCTACCACTAAAGGAATACTGTTCTTGTTTTATTTTGTTTAATGAAACAAGAGGCCCAAACACATTCTGCAAAGTTACTTTTAAGACAGCTAGTCAGTGAGGGCACTGCAGGTTACACAGCTAGATGTCTGCCCTGGGCTCCAGTTTCTGTAAACCTGGGAGAACAGGGCATTCACCACCACCTATTGCAACAGAGATGACTCCACAAGCCAAGGCAGGTCTGACCCTAGGTAGATTAGAGTTAATAAACTGCCACGACATGACATTCTACCCTAATTTTTTCTATAAAGCAGCATCTGTTTTAACTATCAGGAAGAAATGAAAGATGAACATACAATAGGAAGCAAGAACATAGTGGAAATTATTCTTCCCTTATATAATGAAAGTGCTGTCTAAATTGAATATCTTTGAATTATAGAAATTAGGAAAGGAAAAAATAATTACCATTTCCCCCACCTCTCACCCAGACTGAAAGGGTAATTATAGTGATAATAAGGGGTAAGAGGGCTTCCTCAATATATGGCAAGTTGGGCCAAAAAGAATAGGGACAAAGTATCTTAAAAGCGGAGGGCTTGGAGTCATCAGACTTGAACTCACTTTATTCCAACATATTTCTTCAAAAGCCTTGAAAAGAATTTTGCTTTCAGTGTAAGCACATGCTTTCCGAAGCTAAGACTCATTTTGGTTCTTTGCATTTGATTTGTTTTAGCAGTCTTAGGTGTATGTGTAAGCAGGTGAGGGGTAAGTAGAGAATTCTTCTTCTACCCCGTCTAGTTTATATATTATTAATGTTATAGTAGATCCTAGAGACTGAAAATTGTTTTCCAAACCAAGAATTTTGTCAGGAAAGAAAGAAAAAAAGAAGAATGCTGCAACTGACAGTCTCCTAAATGGAGCCCAGGTGCATAAGAATCGTTGGCATGCAGCATAGTTGCATTAAAAATTAGGACCGAAAAAAATCACCTTTGATGTAGGTCTTTATAGAAACATTCTTGTTTAGTACACATAAAAGGATCCTTTTGTTCCTAAGGAACCTGCAAGTACCAAGGACCCTTTTCCCGAATGCTAAAGGTGACCTCTTAAACAGGCAGCCATGTATAGTACCATGTTTACATATATTCCACAAGATAAAATACAACAGCAAAAAAAGCATATTTTCCTAAATGCACCATATGGATTGAAATGCCTCTGTTTGTATATAAATGGTGAAAATAAATCAGAGGGATATCTAGACAAAGCTACACTTTGATATATGAAGAATCTGCACAACTAACATGTTTATAGTATGATGAAGCCTAGTGTGCCAGATAAGAAAAATACATTTTGCAGGTGGACCTAAATCTTTATACTGTTGTGATTTTTAACCAACCTGTCTCTTTTCATCATGGAGTAGCTTCATGACCATAAATACAGGGAACTGCTGACAGTGTAACTCATCTCTTAAACATAGTTTGTTCTTAGCAGCTAAGACAGTTTGGGGGAGTGGGGGAGGCTTTACTTACCCCAGACAAGGACAATGTATCTCAGCGGAATGCAGTACAGGATGGCTGTGAACACACAGAGGGCTACAATGGCCAGCCAGCTTAAGAATGGGACAGTCCAGTTGAAAGTACTGAATGGAAAATTAACACATCAGCAATCTGAGTACTTCATACTTTTTTCAAATATTAAAATACATATGATTCTAACTTGGGACCTAGTTAGTCTGCATTTCTCTCTGGAATAGATTCCAATTGTAATAGGTTATCAGAGGACGCAGGCTAGCCATAATCTGCTCAGTTCCATGAACACAGGGCCCAAGTAAAGAGTCTTGCTGCCACCTCCTCCAGATTGTTCCAGGTGACTTCAGAGTCTAAAGCCATTGTGCTACTTGGGTGACTCCCCACATGAAAGAAGATCTTTATTTTTCTTCTTTATTTTTCTACTGCTAAGACTAGTACCCATCCTTGTTTTCTCTGGCTTTTCAGAGGGGAATGCCCCTGGACCCACCATTCTTCCTTCTATCAACTCTCAGTATTCCCCATATTGGGAATAAAATGTTGCCAGCAACTCTTGGTAGATGTAACTCTTACATGGTTGTGTTAAAAATCCTCTGAATGTTAGAATTCCTTAAACTACTCACTTGTCCTACCTCAGCTATGTTTGAAATAGAACTGGAAATCAGGAAAGAGGAACAAAACAGCCTTGCAAAAATTCACCTCTTACTGCCCTTCTTCCCAGAAGTACATAGATAATTAATAAAATCAGCATTGCTTACTATTATCTCTCATGTACTCCTTGTGAAGGACAGCATTCTGGCAAAAGTAATTGGTAACGTAGAGGACTGGGTCAGAGAAGGCTGCAAGACTCAGTATTGACAACAAGACATGATAACAAATGGAAACGAGACCAATGAACAGAAGTAGAAGTTACAAAAAAAAAAAGTACTGAGGAGATGGGAAGGAATTTACTGAGACAAAAAGGGAAAAGAAAAATGAAGACAAAGGCAAAAACCATGATGTAAAAATGTTTTTAAAAGTAGAAAATCAGGGAACTGGAACATGGGAAGATTATAATCACTTAAGGCTTTTTGTGTGGAATCCAGTCTGGTACTTCTTAAGAGTGTGCCAAAATCATAAAGAAAATAGAAACACTGTGTAGAGCCTCCAGGGTTGGGCATATAAATATATCACCATTTACAGGCATACCATTGCATTCTTTGAAATTTCTCCTAAGTGTTCATCCACTAAAGAGGAACTAACAAACATATCATGTCCTCTGACCCTTTAGCATGAGAGCCAAGAAGTTAGCAGATTTGTATTCAAAGCCTAGATTCTATTATGTGGATTTAGCTGAGTCAACCTCTCTAACCTTTTCCCCATTTATAAAATGGGGATAGCTTTTATTCTGTCAAGGAAGACTGGTTGTGATGGTAATATGTTTATGTGAATCAAGATGAAATTATTAGAACTAATCAACTCAAGGAATCTCATTTATGGCACTTTTTTCTTATGAGACAGAAGGCCCCTAAGACACTTCAGCAAAACATATTGTTCATGTGGATAAATGTGTTTTTTATTTCTTCTAATTTCCTGGTATTGTATATTGTACTTACTTGAGGTGAGTTTTTTTTTTTCAGGGCAATTTTGACCCAATAAAGGATGATTGCTAAAGAGATTTTCTTCTATACAATGCCTCAGCATAATACTTAGGAATTAGTTGTTCCTTACCTTTGTGGCATGTAGCTTGCTTTTTGTCTCTCTCTAGGTCAAAATTGTTTCCTAAAATTTTTTTCTACTAAAAGAGCCAATGTTGGGTCAATCTGGTTATCCTATTTTCAGTAATCCCTGGTGTCTGGCTTTTCTGTCTTTGTCTTCTTCCTCTTATGGTCAAGAGTGAGCATCTGCAACTCACCAGGTAAAGGATCATGCCTTCCCTTCCTGATGGATACCTGTGCCTCCCTTGCTTCTGCTTGCTTGTGGAGAGAACAGAAGGCTAAGGGGATCTGCTTGCTTTCCTGTGGCTCAGCTCAGAGTCATCCATCACACGACTCCACGTGTGAGGGCACTGGCTCTTCACTCAGAAAACCTTCCTTCTGGGCAGCCCCACTGAAGAACTCCCTGTGTTCTCCTTACTCCTATTGGAAGGATAAATGGCAAAGAATCCCCACCAGTGTAGCTGTTAGAAAAAATAAAATAAAATAAAACTGCCCTTTTCTATTTCTACACTCTGCATTATGGAATCTAAATCTAGAATATGATCTTCCCCCAAAAAGGGATGCAATTCAAGAAAGTTCTGGAATGATTATTTAGTAACAAGACATGGTAAGTATAGAGCCCTTTCATTTTGTGCTTAAAGATTGCTTTTGAGTCTGCTTTCTGGGTAGATGCTTTTAATTCCATGTGACCCCCAGGAGAATTTCTTTTTTTTAGCATCCAAAAGATCATTTTGCGGGAGAGATGGCTCCTCCAAGACTCACTGGCCCCTGTGCCATATTCCTGTACCTTAGCATAGGAAGTTCTACAAAACCCAGGTTTCCCCAAGGCTGAACCACTGCCAAGATCTGGTCATATCCCTCAGCTAGTCATGTTTTCCAGCCAAGCATCTGCTCTGAGGCCTTCTACCACCTAGAGTTACAAAGGAGTTTCTTCCTCTCAGGCATTCACTGCCTGATCCATGGTCTTTTGGTATAAATGAGATGTTTCTGTCAGGTATCAGCACACTGTGTACCCCAGATAAAAGAAAGACAGCACTCAATGGGGAAATGCCCCAAATTGAGGGCTTCACACTGTTTCAGTGGATAGCGTGTGGAGGACAGGTAAACATTCTTAGAGATGAGAGGAAGAAGGAGAGAGAAAAGATACGGGAATAGTCTTCTGAAATCCAAGACTGAATGTTTCCTAAAGGCACATCTCGGAGTGAGATGGGGGCTGTTCTGTCTAATGTAAGAAAGTGGAAACTCAGCACCTAGACATGTGGAAATATACAAAATAAAATGCATTATCCCTTACAACATGAAAGGCACGAGATGAATGACTCACACCTTTAGTTTAAATAATTTACTCCTTTCAAATTCTATGTATGCCCAAGGATTCAAATCTGTAGAAAACTTCTGGCTATGAATAACAAACAATGAAGAGATACATTATACTAGGAAAATAAAGGTTTGTCCAGAATTTGGCACCCCTTCTTGAATAGACCATTAGCAATCATTATGTAGGCCAATTTTTACATAATTTAGAAGTATGAGGGTCTTATATCTTTTAACTGATAATTGCTGTAAATACACCTTTTAAAAAAAATATAACATTAGTTTAGATAAAACACATACGTATATAAGAATGTAAGTTTCTTAATTTTGCATTAGAGCTCAGTGAAGCTATATTTATTTTATTTTAAAAAGTTAAGGAAAAGGGATTCTGTTTTTATAATTTTAAAAATTGTGTGCATTTTCTAAATGACAGAGCATTAGTTTATTGATAATTATGGATCTCAGCTATTTAAATACAAACTTGAAAAAAATATTTTTGCAGGGTACCATAAATATGATTAATTTTTTAAAAAATTTAGTGTCACTTGATGAAAATATAACTAGACCAATAGTAAAATACAGGTGTATCTTAATTACCTGAAGTCCTCATTTAGCTTGGTTTATTTTTTTCCTATCACAATTTCATATTCCATTTAAGAACAAAGTCTTTCACAGTGAAAAATGTGCTAAAATTTAGGACGGTGTTATTTCTTCAAAGCTACAAGTATGACTTCTTTCCAACCAATATGTTCTAAATTTCAGGAAGGAAATTGACAGAACTTTCATAAAGCCAAAGACTGGCAGAAATAAAGTAAATAATGATGAAACTGAGCAATAGAGCACCCAGAAGGAGTGTCCCCTGCCAAAAAGAATGTGGCATTTCACCCTCCAAGAAACAAATGGACACCTTATCCCACAGAAGAATGGGGCTCACAGGTCACCGTCACTCACTTCTTTATCCTTTCGCCAAAGGAAGCCACTTCATCTAGGATGTTCTGGACACTGACACATACCTCCTGGATGGCATAGATTTTATTTATAAATCCCTTTTTTTCACTGTCCTAAAATGCAATAAAAAAGAAATTCTGTATGAGTAAAGGTATTCTTCATTGCTTGAATTCTTTGTGTTGTCCCTCTGTTACATTTTTAAACTTAAATAAACTTCATTTTCGTGTGGTTATAAATGGATAATTGGAACCCATGAAAATATCAGGATTTAAAGGAAGATGAGGAGGAAGGGGACCCAGCATCATGGATTTGTGCTTGTAAAGATGGCTGCAAAGCAAGAGCCTCGGGTTCCTTTGCTCTTGCCCTGATGAGCAGAAGAAACATTTTGGGGAGGAAGGTATAAGAGAGAGGGGAGGTCCCAGAATTACCAAACCCGGATTCTACAGTGCCTCTGGATCCACTGATACACTACTTAGTGGACCCAGTTTCTTGACCGCACTGCCCATAAACCCAAATTTTGTTGTGGCTCCAGATATTTCAGCAGCAGAGAATGCTGGATGCACTTGAGATTTGTGAGCAATGAAAACTACAAAAAAAAAAAAAAAAAAAAAAAAAACACCACCACCAAAACCTGGAATCCACTATGTGGATACTGCTTAGATCATATACAAACTAAGCCTGACCACCTTCTTAAAAATAATAGTCTAGTCATATATTTTATACGGTAGTATATGCTGTATTAGGTTCTAACTAAACATTTTTTCCCCTTTTGGTGCTTAGTTCATTTTAAAACATACTGAATTTAAGCAAAGCTGGTGTGCTCCAGGTAATGGATGGGTAGAGATTGAGCATTAAAGCACCTAGAGAGTGGTGTGACCCTAGGAGAAATGTGCATATTTTGCAATTTTAGACCCAAAGGAAGAAACAGTGGTGGCCTTTCACAATTGAAAATTCTGCTTAGTAGCCTGGCATCACAGGCACTTGCCTAGGCTGTTTAGTGGAGACCATCCAACCCTGATTCTATGACTCCATTCCTCCATGCCAGCTTGAATATCTATGGAAATGTAGATCCAATTTCATTACTTTAACTTCTTTTGAACACTTGCACACTATGCCAGAACACTTGAGACCTCATGTGGCAGTCAGTGCTTGCTGAAAGCAGCCAGGAAGCTAGAATAATAATGTCATGTTGCACATTTACATACTGACTTTCATTTCAGAAGAGTCTAAAGCACTCTACAGTGTGAACACTTGGCCAGGGCTGGCCTCCCGCCACCTCAGAAACTGCGGGCAAGTGAATGACAGATGTGTGTGCCTCCTCCAAGGACAACAGGGTACACTGGGACCAAGGACATGGAGGCCAGTTTTATAACGATCTTTGTTATAGATACCAGTTACTTAGAGCCTTAATTTTAAATTTAATTCACATGGGAGAAATTTGTCTATTATTCATCTTGCTTATGCCAAAATGGATTGTCAATTAGACGAGACGCATAAAGCTTAATAACAGTATTGGGAACAGCTAGTTAGCTACTTAGGGTTCCCTACTGTCTTCAGAAGTCACCATTCACTTGTCATGACAGACGTTGGTGCATCAATTTATCTTTCACACTCTCCAGTAAAAAAAAAAAAAAAGTTAGTTTCACCTATACAATTGTGCACGTTAGAGTAAAATGAATAACTAGTGGCTTTTTCCTGTTCCTTTCAAAACTGCAAAGTTCGTCTGCCCCAACTGTGTGTCCCTTAGTATTCTCATCTCAAGCACCAGCTAAGTTCATTTATGTCTATGAAGCAAAGTACTCATAAATATTTAACCACATACAGAATAAGTCAAACGAGTTGAAGCATGCTGGTTGTACAATGAAAGTCCATTGAGAATGTCTTTCAGCTCAAAATTATGTGAAAAACTATTTCACAGTAACAAAATATATGAAATACCTAGGTAAAACCTCAGCAGGAAATTTACGAAATATATAAAAAGTTTTTTTTTTTTTAGTTGAATATATAGGCTTAATGAAATTTCAAGCAAATCCTAATGTTTAGAGTGGAGAAAACGGGGAGAACTTAATAATGTTTCTAAAGTTTGTTGGACAAATAGGTAACTATAGCTAAGAAATTTTACAAAAGAGAAATCATGAGAAGGCATTCAGTGTACCCAGTATTTAATTAAAATGAGATATGGGCATCAAAAGATTGGTATATGATAAGGTGCCATGCACAAAGGAAATAAGGAAGTGTTGTTATTGGGTAGTTGCGTTAACTATTTGGGGAAAGTTATGTTAAATCCTACCTAAAATAGACATTCACATCTGAGATAGATAGCCAAAATCTATCTTAATATGTGCCTCAAATAGCCCCAAATACATTCCATATTAATGTTAAGAAGTTAAAAACAATATCTACCATAATCAAGTTGGCTTCATCCCTGGGATTCAAGGCTGATTCAACATACACAAATGAATAAAGTAATTCATCACATAAACAGAACTAAAGACAAAAATCACGATTATTTCAATAGACGCGAAAAAGGCCTTCGATAAAATTCAACATCCCTTCAAGTTAAAAACTCAATAAACTAGGTATTGATGGAACATACCTCAAAATAAAAAGGGCCATTTATGACAAACCCACAGCCAATATCATACTGAATGGGCAAAAGCTGGTAGCATTCCCCTTGAAATCTGGCACAAGACAAGGATGCCCTCTCTCATCACTCCTATTCAACATAGTATTGGAAGTTCTGGTCAGGGCAATCAGGCAAGAGAGAGAAATAAAGGGTATTCACATAGGAACATAGGAAGTCAAACTGTTTCTGTTTGCAGATGACATGATCCTATATCTAGAAAACCCTATTGTCTCAATCCTAAAGCTTAAGCTGATAAGCAACTTCAGCAAAGTCTCAGGATATAAAAATCAATGTGCAAAAATTTCTAGCATTCCTATACACCAACCATAGACAAGCAGAGAGCCAAATCATGAATGAACTCTCATTCACAATTGCTACAAAGAGAATAAAATACCTAGGAATACAGGTAACAAGGGAAGGGAAGGACCTCTTCAAGGAGAACTACAAACCACTGCTCAAGGAAATCAGCGAGGACACAAATGGGAAAATATTCCATGCTCATGGATAGGAACAATCATTATTGTGAAAATGGCCATACTACCCAAAGTAATTTAAAGATTCAATGCTATTCCCAAACTACCACTGACCTTCTTCACAAAATTAGAAAAAACTTCCTTAAAATTCATATGGAACCAAAAAAGAGCCCGTATAGCTAAGACAATCCTAAGCAAAAAGAACAAAGCTGGAGGCATCATGCTACCTGACTTCAAACTATATTACAAGGCTACAGTAGCCAAAATGGCATGGTACTGGTACAAAAACACACATACACCAACGGAATAGAAAAGAGATCTCAGAAATAAGACCGCACATCTACAACCATCTGATCTTTGACAAACTTGACAAAAACAAGCAATGAGGAAAGGATTCCCTATATAAAAACAGTGCTGGGAAAACTGGCTAGCCATATGCAGAAAATTGAAACTGGACCCCTTTCTTATAAAAAATTAACTCAAGATGGACTAAAGACTTAGATGTAAAACACAAAACTATAAAAACCCTAGAAGAAAATCTAGACAATACCATTCAGGACATACTCACAGGCAAAGATTTCATGACAAAAACTTCTAAAGCGAACATTTTGATTTGGTTGCAATGCAACCAAAGCAAAAATTAACAGATGGGATCTAATTAAACTAAAGAGCTTCTGCACAGCAAAAGAAATCAGAGTGAACAGACAACCCACAGAATGGCAGAAAATTTTTTCAATCACTCTGACAAAGGTCTAATATCCAGAATCTACAAGAACTTAAATTTACAAGAAAAAAATCATTAAAAAGTAGGCAAAAGACATGAACAGACACTTCATAAAAGAAGACATTATTATTATTTTTTTTGACATGAAGTTTCGCTCTTATTGCCCAGGCTGCAGCGCGATGGTGCAGTCTTGGCTCACTGCAACCTCCGCCTCCCAGGTTCAAGCAATTCTCCTGCCTCAGCCTCCCAAGTAGCTGGTATTACAGGCATGTGCCACCACACCTGGCTAATTTTTTGTATTTTTAGTAGAGATGGGGTTTTACCATGTTGGCCAGGCTGGTCTCGAACTCCTGACCCCAGGTGATCCACCCACCTTGGCCTCCCAAAGTGCTGGGATTATAGGCGTGAGCCACTGTGCACAGCCCAAAAGACATTTATACAGCCAACAAACTTATGAAAAAAAGCTCTACATCAGTGATCATTAGAGAAATAAAAATCCAAACCACAATGAGATACTATTTCATGCCAGTCAGAATGGCTATTATTAAAAAGTCAAGAAACAACAGATGCTGGCAAGGCTATGGAGAAATAGGAACACTTTTACACTGTTGGTGGGACTGTAAACTAGTTCAACCATTGTGGAAGACAGTGTGGTGATTCCTCAAAGACCCAGAACCAGAAATACCATTTGACCCAGCATTCCCATTACTGGGTATATACCCAAAGGAATATAAATTATTATATTATAAAGATACATGCACATGTATGTTAATTGCAGACTATTCACAAAAGCAAAGACATGGAATCAACCCAAATGACCAACAATGCATAAGTGATAGACTGGATGAAGAAAATGTGGTACATATATACCATGGAATACTATGCAGACATAAAAAAGGAACTAGATCATGTCCTTTGCAGGTACATGGATGGAGCTGGAAGCCATTATCCTCAGCAAACTAATGCAGGAACAGAAAACCAAACACCACATGTTCTCACATGTAAGTGGGAGCTAAACAATGAGAACATATAGACAAAGGGAGGGGAACAAACACTGGGATCTGCAGGTGGTGTGCGGGGAGCAATGTGGGGAGGGAGGGCATCAGGATAAATAGCTAATGCATACAGGGCTTAATACCTAGGTGATGGGTTGATAGGTGCAGCAAACCACCATGGCACATGTTTACCTATGTAACAAACCTGCATGTCCTGCGCATGTGTCCCAGAACTTAAAATATAATTAAAATTTTTGGCTGGGCCCAGTGGCTCATGCCTGTAATCCCAGCACTTTGGGAGGCCGAGACAGGCAGATCACCTGGGGTCAGGTGTTCGAGACCAGCCTCAACGTGGAGAAACCCCGTCTCTACTACAAATACAAAATTAGCCGGGCGTGGTGGTGCATGCCTGTAATCCCAGCTACTCAGGAGGCTGAGGCAGGAGAATCGCTTGAACCTGGGAGGCAGAGGTTGCGGTGAGCTGAGATCGCGCCATTGCACTCCAGCCTGGGCAACAAGAGCGAAACTCCTCTCAAAAAAAATAAATAAATAAAAATAAAATAAAAATTTTAAAAAAGTTAAAAGCAAAAATGAATTATAAAAAGACAATACAGGGAAGTTATTTACTGACCTTGGAATAGGAAAGAACTTTCTAAACATACAAAAAATAAAATAAATTACAAAGGAAAATAATTTATAGCAATGGTTACATAAAATTTAAAACATGTCAAAAGTCATAAATTTAAAAGGCTAAGTGGGAAAAAAAATCAACAAATGCTACAAATGATGGGATGATATTTCTAAAATAGTAAACATCTGAAAATGTTTTAATTGCATTTTTGTTTATAACAAAAAGACTAATAGTATGTTGGATGAGATTATAGTACATACAATTGATAGATTATGAAATCAGAAAATATTTAGAAAGAATATATAATGACATCAAAAACGCTTATGATCTAATATATATAGTGTAATCCTAATTTAGGTTTAAAATGCCTATGTTGGGGAAAAAAAGGATGAAGGAGATGCATGAAAATATTCCAGTAATGGAAGTTTATCTTCTTCATACCTTCCTGTAATATTCAAATTGTTTGCAATTCATATTTTACTTTTGTAATAAGAATATTTCCCCAATTTTCTTTAATGTTACTAAAGGAAGATGGTTAGAAGAAATAAATGAACTGGTACTTGGCTTGTCTATTTTTAATATTTTTATAAGCTATCTTAAATTATTTTTGGAAAGAAATGGAATATAAACAGACACTCATTAAGTAGTGTAAAGTACTTTTCTCATAATTCATCCAATACTCACAACCATCCTACAATGTAGTTATTTTTCTCCACTCTACAGAAGAGGAAACTGAGGCTCAGGAAAAAGTGACAGAACTTGGGTTGGGACAATGCCTGGCTAACTCCAGAGCCTATACTCTATAATAACCATATGACCTTCCTATTCAATCCAGGAAGGTTTCAGTTCCTACAAAGAATTCCTTTGAGATAAAGAAAAATGATTTCAAAATGTTTCGAAAATGCAGACACCATAATCTAGCCTTGAGAATCACCATAGAGCTAAAATCTTGAGCAAGAGAATGAAATCCAGAAACTTGATTTGAAGGTAGAAAGTGAAAGATGTGTTAGAAACCACCACATTTAATGTCAATAAGGTAAGCAAATATTAAATGCAGGTAAGCAAATATTAAATGCAGGACCTTCATTAATAAGATGTGTCACTTGAGGCATCTGTGAAGAAAATTTTTAATAGCCACTTTAAAATCCAAGTGCTGATGTATGATTATTGGCTAAGGATTTTTAAATATTCGCTCATTCTTCATTTGCTTTGTTACTACTGCACTCCCACCCAGTCCACCGCCACTCCCTTACCCTCAACTGCCAAAAGACAAAATAATATGGTTTGTAATGTTGGTGCAGTTTTGAAAAGCAAATGCTTTGGGATAAAATTTTCCTTTTAAAATCTGTCATCAAATTCTATATTCTTTCATTGTGGTCTCCAATCAATGAAGTAATTACTCTTTCTATAAAGTATATGACCCAAAACTGCAATGGATAATGGAATTGCTGTGTTGCATTCCAATATTTCATACTTTTTTCAATAATGTTCAATACTTTATTGTAGAGAATAAATTGGTACATTCCTTTATTGTTGTTTTTGCTTTACTTTATAAAGCAGCTTGGATGAAAGAAATATCATAGAGTAGTTAATCACCCAGTCTTGGTAGTGACACTGTTTTGTTTTTTTTTTTTTAATGCATTATTAAGGTTTCTTTTGAAGGTGAAAAAAAAAAAATATCCACAACAACAGCTATAACCATGAATCTGAGAATATGTGAGATTTATATTGCACAACTATTTCTAATGATTCTATACAATATTTCTAAAAGCTCTCTTACTAGGTTTTAAATAGTCCCTAAAACATCACTAACTGTAAAAGTTGAAGTACAGTGATTCTTTAATATATGCCTACTTTACTATGACATATTGCAACAGAAAGTTAACTAGATTCTTCCAAAGAAGTACCTACCACCTAGTTTTGAGATATTTAAGAAAATCTAAAGACCTAAATAATCAATAGGCATACCTTACATATTCGAAGAATCCTGTTCATCGACTTTCAAGCCAAAATGACAGATTCTCCCCTTCACTGAGTCTGTTCTAAATGGGAACATGAAGCCAAAGTGATAGACATCGGGGTGAATATTCTGGGACTGGTTTTTCCTGCCGAGCTGTGTCCTAGCTTAGTCATTAATACATTTAGGAACCCTGCCATAGTGGTCATTGTCAACCATGTTGAGAAGTTATCTGTTGAACACCTGTGCTGTATTAATCAGAATTAGCAGGTATGTAGAATATATTTGCTACAAATATTACTATTATAAAATCAATGTTATTTCACTTCCTAAGGTGAGAGAGTCTTCAGAGAAAGGGAGAGCTGTTAAATCTTATGCTACGATAATGAACATAAAATGGAACTATATATACCAAGGCATATGGTCACCTTATTATTTCCTGGAGGAAGTATTTGGATTTGAGATACCTTCTATCCCAAAGAGCTAATTAATCTTTATCATAATTTTGCTTCTCCTTTAAAGTCTTGCTTACATAACCTTTGGCAAAAGGTGAATGGTAAGGTTCATATTTTCTATGAGACATAATTATTTATTATAGTTTACCATTGATTGGAGCTCTTCTTTGGACAAGTATAGACTCACATAGCACAACGTCTAAAATTATGTTTGGAATATGTTTATGTTTCCCGTGATGGATGCTAAAGATGGTTTTGGTGCACTACTTTCTCTAGTTCACTTAGTCAGGTGCCATGCAAAATAGACTTCCTCTCAGATCTATAATTCCAACCTAAGGAAAATACATTAGATGAGAAGTATGGAGTGGATAAAGGCACAAAAAGAAGTGATCAAATGTTTTCTCTGTGCCAATCTTTCTTCTTTTTCAGATATAAAAAAAACATGTTTCAACCTGAAATCTAGAATACTGAAATTCTCAGCAGTTTGGCAATTCAGAGTCCCTTGGCTACTGAATCTTATCTAAGTGTCTTACTCAGTTCTTACTGTATCAAATCTTGTGCAGTTTACTTGGTGCCTTGCCTCTCTTCCTGATATTAGCCTTGAAAAATAGAAACACTCTATTGAGACACTGAAGTTATTTAAGGTTAACAGGATATTTAAGGTTAACAGGATAAATGGACACCTTTTAACAAGATAGTATATTTTTCTCTTAAAACAGTTCTCAAACATTTTGGCTTATGTTAAAAACAAAATTTTGAGATATTAGAGGGAATTCTCAACTATATGAAACATTTTATGCATGTTTAGTTTTGTACCAGGTGACTCAGTGTTAACTTGTCAGAGTCTATTTTAGAAAATGATGGTAAATTCTTTATAATGTTACACTGAGATTTTTTTTCCCTTCTGCTGACTTGGCAGAGTTTTTTTTTTGTTTTGTTTTTGCTTTTTTGCAGAATGAGTCTTTACCTGGTTTTAATATTTGCTTCCTCTTTTGCAAGGCAGCCTTATGCTTTTCAGAGCTCATTTCTACTACATAATTTATGATAGCATTTAGTTGTGCTTTACCTTGTTGGCTTAATCTTATACATGTAATTTGCATGCAACTTTAAAGGTGATTGTAATGTAAAAAGAATTTGGAGAGAAATATACCCTGGGCTAGACAATGCAAACAACAGGCATTTTTAAGTGGCAGCTGGCACTCTAAATGTTAAAATAAAAGCCAGGAAGGAAAGAATGGAAAAAAAAGAAAAAGTGAGGAAAGAGAAAGAAGGAAGAAAAGAGAGAGAGAGGAAGACACAAAGGAGAAGAGGGAGAGGAAAACACGGAAAGAGATACTCTAACGGATGGAAGAAGATGAGAAGACTGAGAAGTTGACTGACTATGAGAAAGGGAAGGAAAATGTCTCTGGTCAGAAACACAAATGACATAAAGTCAAGACAGAAACAAAACTTGCTAACCATATTAACTTCTAATTCAACAAAAATTATTTGTAAAAGGCTGTACATAAAATATTTTTTAATAAATGTAAATAAACCTTACAGCAAGCATCCAGCAATACAGATGGACTTGTTGTCAGGAGGGAGAGTTCCCTGGAGCCAAAGACTGAAGAACCCCCCAACTTTTGCTTTGAGATGAGGTCTCGCTTTGTTGCCCAGGCTGGAGTGCAGTGGCTCCATCACAGCTCATTACAGCTTCAACCTCCTAGGCTCAAGCAATCCTCCCACTTCAGCCTCTTGAGTAGCGGGGACCACAGGTGTGCACCACCACGTCTGGCTAATTTTTTTTTTTTTTTTTTTGGTAGAGACAGGGTCTTGCTGTGTTGCCCAGGCTAGTCTCAAATTCTTGGGTTCAAGCAATCCTCCCACCTTGGTCTCCCAAAGTGCTAGGATTACAGGACCACCACACCCAGCCAAGAAAACCCTTTTTAACTGTCCTGCAAATATAGTCAGCCCTCCACACAATGGGTTTGCATCCATCGATTTGACCAATGGGTTACATCAGAGACTTGAGCATTCACAGATTTTGGATATGATTTTGGTATCCATGGGAGGTTCTGGAATAGATCTCTCAAAGTTACCCAGGGACCTGTATTTGAAAGATCTTAAAAGAACCTTATCAATATCAATATCAAAACCTTTGACTTAATTGCCCAGCCAGCAGCCAGGAAAAAGGGGCCTTATAGATTATCCCATCTCAGGCTTTTGTCCCAGAAGTTCTGCTTTCAGATGGACTCCAAGTGAAAGGGCCAAAGAGGACTAGTTCTAGGCTAACTCTGATAGAAGCCACAACAGAAGCTGTGAGGCTGAGGCTCCCAAGTATCCAGAGATTTAAAAAAAAAAGTAACAAAGGCTACTTTCAACCACGATAACACAAGTTTTGAGATAAGAATTTGTATGCCTCACAGGGTTTTCTGTAAAATCAAAATGAACAGATTGTGGAAAGGTTTTGAAATGTGAAAGCACGTGAACCTGTGAATTAGGTTGAAAATAAAGCACAAGAAAATGTGGAAGCACACTCAGGATTACAGGTCACTGCCTGTCCTTAGACCTCATTTGAAAAGAAAAGAAAAAAAAGGTGAAATAAGATGTTTACTAAAATCCCTCCTGGTTAGGTTTACTCATTTTACAGATAAGATAAAAAGGACTGTGAATAGTCTCTGCCCTTCAGAGTCCATTGAAAGCTTATTTGAGAATAGTTGGTGGGTGGAATTTCTCCTGCTCTTTCTACAAGCTCAGTAGTTAAAGCTTGAGTGAGAATACCAAAGCTTGAGTGAGCTCAGAAACACTGAGCTTGTTTCTGATTCCAGATAGCAAATGCTGGGCTAGGTTTTTTGTGTGTGTTTCTTAAATCTCAACTTCTAATGAAAAAGTTGTAGGATGTACGTTTGTTTTTAAAAAAACTTCTTTTGAAATTGTTTACTTCATTTTCAAATATGTGTTTGAACATGGTTGAAAGTTCAAATGCAGAGCTGAGAAGGCAGTTGAGAGTTTAGAGAAGGAGGTGGGTACTAGATGACCATATTTAGAAGATGAGTAGATTTCTTAGTAACTGGCTCTCTTGCTAAGTATGGTTCAAATGCTGCTTCCATCATTTTCTTAGCTAGGTGATTTTGAGCAATTTATTAACTTCTTCATCTGTAAAATGAGGATAATAATTCAACCTACCTTTGCAATGGTTATAAAATTAAATTAGTTTAATCCATTGAAGCCATAAAATCCATAAATATCTGGAACATAGGAAGTGCTTGGTAAATATTAGTCGTTAATATTATTAACAACTTGAAGAGACTGAAAAAGGAAATCCTACAACACTTTTAAAAGTTAAATTGTATTAAATCTTAATAAAGACAACAGAATTTTCTCCTTTATATCTCAGGAATATTATTTCATGCTTGTAAAACTTCTTTGTCATATGTATCATCATATATGATCCTTACAACTATTCACACGAGGGTGATGGATATTATTCTCATTCCCAGCTTGAAGAAACTAAAGATCAGTTGCCTAAAGATCCCCCTCAAACTTCTGCCTCAATTTGTGCTCACTCTCCTTGGGTGCCTCCAGTTGTGTTTGTTCTCATCTGAGATATGGGACTTGAAAAATGGCACCTGAGCAGAATGTTCATTTGTTTACAATATTCCCCACCCACTGGAAGTTGTATGTCCTCTGAAGGCCACTGGTTATACTCATAAGATGCATGCCTTTTATCATGTGATTTTATCTGTTAATGCTTATTCAGTTAAAACTATCAGAATCAGCTGTTCTTCAGTAAGCCTCATGGCTGAATCAGCGCCAGAGTTATTTAATCTTAAATAGCACAAGTTCTGTTGCTAATATACTTACTAGTGCAGTTTTTAACCAAAGAAAGATTCCGATTCTTTTATTATGATTATGTCTTTTGTATAAGTTACAAAAAGTCATATACACAAGGTATGGGGCCCGCAAAGTTTTTTTTTTCTTAAATAGATTTGTTATGAAAATAATCACATCTTTTATAGGACTTTATGGCTTATAAAGCATTTTTAATTTATCTTTCCACTTGAGGTGGCAGGGTCATATGGTTCCTCCATTTTACAGATCAGGAAAGTGAGGCTTGGAGAAGCTAAGTTTTCATTACTAGTTAAAAAGAGTTCCTGGGACTATAACCCATGTCTCATGGTTGAAATTGGGCTCCTTTCAGGTCACTGTCAAAAAGTTGTCGAGTCCCATATGGTATTTTTTCGGTACATTGTTTTAGATATTTAAACTTGGGTCTTCCCCAAAACTAACCTTGAGTTATAATCAAATCGTGTGAGAAAAGAATCATATTAGTATTAGAAAAACAATGCTCTTTGTGACATCTCCACAACCAAGTAAGGACTGCTTTGTGAAGTCCAGAGGCTATTTTTCTTTACAAATATTTTACAAGACAAACTTATACCTTTCTAAAAAGGCACATCTGTTGTAAATTACTCCCTTACAGAAAGAGAGAATCACCATCCCTTCTCCCCATCTGAGCTTAAAAGAGATTTGTTGATATATTCTAAGGCTAGCATAGACAAAACAGCACAGGAAAGAGGAGGTGGTCAGCAGGACCAGGGTTCAGCTTTGCTTAAAGTAATTCCACATGCCCCATGACCATTAGCTGTTTTTTATTTCCTGCTCTGAAGATCCATAGTGAAAATAATCTGGGATAGGGAAAAGCTGCACTTATTATTTTTTTTCCCCAACAAGATGCTGTGTTAGCAAATAGAAGATATGAGCCACCTTCAGCAAACCAAGGTCTTTAATAACCCATTTTTCAAACACTACTGGTATTTCCTTTCCAAACAAAGATGGACTGTGACTGGAATCAATTTCATCATTTGTATGGTTACAATTGCCAAGTTTCTGGAAATAATCGCCATTTAAATACTGGATAATATTTTTACATGAAGCCAACAACAGTTTTATTGCTATTTAATTTCCATGATTTGTTTGTTTGCTGTAAGTCTTCAGTGTCTGCGAGCATGACGTTTGGGGATAGGGAACAGTCTTAAGAACAAATCAGGATAAAAGCAATGTCAAAGTCATGTTAAAGGCATGACTTGAATCCACCAAATGAGAAATTAGCATTAGGAAAAAATGATTTGCTCCACCACTTTGGGCTTTTATTTCTCAATTTCCTTATAAGCTGCAAAACAGTAACATCATCCACCACTTTCAGACCTTGGCATAATGCAGGAAACCCAGAACAGGACTGAGAATTCAATTGTCCTCCTTAAGATAATAGAGTTCTTCAATGAAATTCAACAAAACATAGCAGATGTCAGTATAAATAAAGGGCCTGGCAAATTTGAGGGGAACTAGGCCATCTTTCTCTATTGATGCCATATGTAGCACATACCTGAATAACAACTTAGTGTTCTATGGGATGCTGCTGATATATGGGGTAGGCCTGTCCCCTAAACCCCTTCCTTACTGCAGAGTAAATCACTAGAACAGGCTCATTCTGAGGTCAACCTGGAAGAAAATTCCAAAGGCCTACTTTATTCAGCTTATGATAACGTTGGTTACTTAGTGGTGTGGATCATGATGCCTTTCAATTTATTTGAGGGAGAAAGGGCAAGAAAAAGATGAGAATCAATTTCAAAAATGGCTCAAATTCTTAAACTAGGGATGGCTATTGGTTTAACAGGATAAAACAGTCTTAAGAGCAAATCAGGATAAAAGCAATGTCGAAGTCATGTTAAAGGCCTGACTTGAATCCACCAAACGAGAAATTAGCATTAATAAAACAAGTTCTTTAGAAATGGTAGTTTATGTATCTGCGTCTTAAAATTCTGCATTTACAATAAAAGTGGGATGGGCATGGATTGAGGCTATGATGTACTTTCCTGGGCCTGTCCTAATCAAGCCGAGGGATGTTGTAGGCTTAAATCCTGTTGTGCATTTTACGAGTCATGTGACCTCTCAGATACTTGGTTTTCTCTTCAGTAAGACAGAGATCATATCTACCCAATAGGAGTTGATGTGGGAACAGAATGAAATCATGTGTGTAAAGCAACTGGCATGCTAATAGATACTATATAAATACTAGTTTTCTTCTCACCCACTGTCTTTCTTCCCAAACGGTAATATTTTCATTTTTTCTGCCTGATTTCTCTCTCATTTTCTTTCCCCCGCACTGGCTAGAGTTTGTATTTAGGGGCCTGCTTATCATTCACTTCATTCATGTCATCTCTTCATTTGAGTAGTATTTTGTTTAGCCAAATCTCAATTCATTTCTTTTATTCATTTACTCAATAAATATTTATTGAACACCAACTACATATCAGACACTATTCTAGGCTCTGAGGATACTGGACTCTGGGGATACAATGATAAGCAAGATAGCACCAAGCAAATACATGGATAAACAAACAAAAACAGCAGATAGTAAAAAGCGCAATGAAGAGACCTGAAATGGGTACATGGGCTGGACAGTGACCCAGTGGTCAGTGAGGGCTGCTCTAATGATAAAACTCTGTAGTTGAGAACAGTTTTGGTCAGGAAAACAGAAACTACTCTAAGTATTTCAAACAAAGGGAATTGAACACAAGGAAGTAGCTACACAGGTGATGGAAGAATTGAGCATCAAATAGAGTGTGGCAGACATGAGCAACGCAGAAAGCCACTAGCAGAGGGACGTTACTGAAGCCCAGATGATGGTCACATGGACCAACTCTGTGGCAGGAGTGGCACCATGGAGCGGGTGCTTGGCAGTACAATATTTGGGATTATGGAGGGATCTGTCTGGTGGAGAACTGAACCACAGAGGAGACCCAGTCACCTAGTCACTGCTGGATAATGTCCGTGAAACCAGAGAGACATATCAAGGGGGTTGAGGGAGAATGAGAGAAGAGAATTGTCCTGTTTTCTTCCTTCTTCCCTTTTCCCAGTCTCCTTCCAGTATCTCCCATTGGCCAAATCCCCAAAAGAATGTGATTTGCAAGAGAAGAGTAAGTGAGGATCACCTGGAAGTATACAAGCAAGAACCAGCACAAGATAACAATGATGGGAAGGAATTAACCAGGAGAAGTGCACGTAGTACAAATGTGCTAAGGCAAAATACAAACTCAACTTGCTTGAGGAAACAAAGGATGCCTGAACATGGTAGCCAGTGAAGAGGGAGCACAGGATGACAGAGAAATAGTGCCACAGAGGGAGGCTTGTAACCAGAATGAGGAGTAGAGATTTTATTCCAAAGCATGATGGGAAGCCATTGGAATGTTTTAAACAGAGGAAGAACATTACATTTTGTTTACTTGTTTTGTTACTAGCTCTTACACAGAATAATTTACATTTTTAAAATACCACTTAGGTAGAAATATACTGTGTGGGGAAAACAAGATAGTTAGGAGGCTACTACAGTAGCCCACAAAAAGATGATAGCTTAGACCAGGGTGGATATATTCGGGATGTTTTGAAAGTAAAGTCACCATAGACATATTACTAGATTGAATGTGGAAACCAAGAAAAACAGAAATCAGAGAATTGCTTACATGTTTGGCTTGAGCAACTGGGTAAATGAGACTTAGTTTTTTGAGACAGGGTCTCACTCTGTCACCCAGGCTGCAGTACAGTGATGCAAACATGGCCCACTGCAGCCTTAACTTCTGGGCTCAAGCAATCCTCCCACCTCAGCCTCCTGAATAGCTGGGACCACTGGCACATGATACTACACTCAGCTAATTTTTTGTTTTTTGTAGACATGGGGTCTTGCCATGTTGCCCAGGCTGGTCTCGAACTCAAGCAATCCTCCTGCCTTGGCCTCCCAAGGTGCTGAGATTACAGGCATGAGCCATCACACCTGGCCGAGGCTGATTTTACTGCCCTAGGGAAGAGTGGAGCAGGAGCAAGCTTGGGAAAAGGGCAGATGAAGAGTTGTGTTTGGGCTGTGAAAAAGTATGAGGTGCCCAGTGGATCTTTTACCTCAGTCTTGTTTGTGCCAAAGATTCCTGCATCAAGTAAGGAGGAGGACATGTTCTCAATGGAAACCAGCAAGAAACAGTAACACAGAGACAGGTTTTAAAGCCATGCCTTATAGAAAGAGGAGCTCATTGGACATCTCATGAAAGTACCCCTGGCGGTTATCTGTAACTTGCCCTTTACTCATTCTTTGAGGCCTCTTCTTCCTTGGTAACACCCTATTCCCAGATGTTTCAGAAGGAAATCTGAAGTAGATACTTGTCACCATTTGGGAACCTCTATAATAAAATAAAATCATAAATACTCTGAGTTCTGGATCATAGTTGTTAGCATCTCCAGCCAAAGAAACAAACACACTCCACACACACACACTCCACACACACACACTCCACACACACACACACATTGCAGAACACCAATATAAAATCAAGTACCTCTGTTAAAATGTAAGAAGACCTTCACTAGGAAGGAATTGGGAAATACTGCCACTGCAAGGGAGGGTGATCTTACTTTCACTTCTTTTCTTTGAATATACATTCCAGGAAGACAAAGAACAAATTTTTTTTGGTATAGTTTCTTGTAGAGCTTAATAAATCTCTACATACGTGGGGGAATTTAAGATTGTTTTGAGTTTAATTTAGGATTGTTTTGGGTCTAATAGGGGGAATTTAGGATTGTTTTGATAATGTGGCCCAAGACAATTCTTCTTCCATTGTGGCCCAGGGAAGTCAAAAGATTGGACACCCCGATTCTAAAGGTTTGTGTATTTCTTCTTAGAATTCTTATTTGCTTAACAAATTTAAACAATTAGTCCTGAATTTTTTAAGTGTTTAGACTACTGCCTAGTATGTAGTAAGTTCTCAAAAATGTTACTTATTAACATTTTATTACTATTATTTGTTACTGTAATTATCTGAGTGCTGATAGATTACAATAAATATTGACTTTTCCTACCTGATTCTTGATGTTTCTGTAATGTCAGATATACACAAACGTTTAAATGCCTCTGTTTATGAATGCTCCCTGATTGTAAGCAGGAAAGTTACAACAATCTGCTCTTCCTCAAACATACTGTGCAGAGTTGATAGAAATTATTTTGAACCTTCTGGTTTGTGTGACTTTTTGGCACATCTACCAGTATTATGAATTAGATGATTTATCTGAGCCAAACTGCTGCTATGTAGAAATACAAATAGAAATACCATTCTGCAGACAGACAGATAGCTGGGGAAAACAATGTTATAAATTAACATTAAAAATTTATTATTCACTTTATTAATCTAAATATCAAAACTAATTTTTACATTCTTGTTTTTCTATTTCTGAGAATAATTTAGATACTTTAGTAAATGGGCATTTATTTATTCTTTTACCTTAGGAGAGATAATGGGCAATATTCAATTAAAAATGTAAAATCAGTGATACCAGGTAGCATTACTCCTGTAAGGTCATTTTATAGAAAGCTACCTAGTGGCAAATGTCCTGTGAGTTTCATCACTTAGGGGAAAAGTTAGTTTTTAGCAATTACATTTAAACATGGTTTTAAGAAATATTAAAAGACAGTATTGCTACATTCCACAAAGGATTCATTGACAGGCAGTGTTAACAGTGCAGATTGCTATGATTTTATTCTGCTAGGATACAGTGTGCATCCATCTAAAGCAAGCTCGTCCAATCCATGGCCTGCATGCAGCCAAGGATGTCTTTGAATGTGACTCAACACAACTTCGTAAACTTTTCTTAAAACATTATGAGACTTCGTGATTTTTTTTTTTCTTAGCTCATTAGCTGTTGTTAGTGTTATTGTATTTTATGTGTGGCCCAAGACAATTTTTCTTCCAGTGTGGCCCAGGGAAGCCAAAAGATTGGAAACCCCTGATTCTAAAGGTTTGTGTATTTCTTCTTAGCACTTTATTTGCTTAAAAAATTTAAGAAACTTTTTAGCTGCTTAAAAAATTAGTCAAATCATCCTGGTGCTATAGACTGAATGTTTTTGGTCCTGCCCCATCCCCACCAAATTCATATGTTGAAAACTAATCTCCAATCTTATGATATTTGGAGGTGGGGCCTTTGGGAGGTGATTACATCATGAGGGTGGAACTCTTATGAGTGGGATTAGTGACCTTATAAAACAAACCCTAGAGAGTTCTTCTGCTCCATTCTGCCATGTGAGGACACAGCTGAAAGACAGCTGTCTATAGAACCAGGAAACAGGCTCTCACCACACACTGGATCTGCCAGAGTCTCGATCTTGGACTTTCTAGCCTCCAGAACTGTGAGATACAAGTTTCTGTTGTTTATAAGCCACTCAGTCTATGACATTCTGTTACAACAGCCTGAACAGACTAAGACACTTAAAAAATTATTCAAATCATTCAGGTATGGTTTATAAAATTATTTTTATATATTAAAATTTTATGCCTATAGTGTTTAAATTTAAAGTTGAAGTCTGCATAATTATTTAGAGTAATTTTATCTATTCCAAATATGGCAAATTTTATCATTCTCATCTACTTTATTATTTAAGCTAGTTGTGTTAGAGAGTGTTAAAAATTATTTGGAACACATGTTGGAAAATCATTTTCAAAGTTACTATTTCAAAAAAATTTTAATGCAACTGAAGTCAGAGAACAGGGAGAGCAAAGAATTTTCCATTAGATGTCCTGCTTTATCTTACTTGCAGGAATTATATGAGGGATGAGGTATTTCTCAGGGCTAGAAGGTGGACATCAAAAGGTTTGTGGCTTTAGGCAAATATCCAAAACCCATACTAATGTAATAAGTTATCCAGTGTCCTCAAGCACAGCAATACGATCAATACAGGATTTCCATCATCTTTCCTTAGAACAAAATTCTAGAGGTCATAAAGTGGGTCTGTGTGTATTTTGTATCAGCACAGCATAGGTGCTAATCGCTGGGGTGTTAGGATGGTCACAAGTAATATTCCCTTCTCAAATCAGTAAAATGGGATAATCCATATCTTAAAGGAACATTAGTAGGATTAAGGAAAATATCTGATTAGAAAAGAAGCCCCCTTCCCTATTTCCTGGATATGTCTGTAGTCACCAACTTGGAAAAAACAAAAATCACATCTAATGTTACAGAAAATACCTCAGTATGGCCGGGCACCAGTGGCTCATGCCTGTAATCCCAACACTTTGGGAGGACAAGGCAGGCAGATCACAAGGTCAGGAGTTCGAGACCAGCCTGGCCAATATGGTGAAACCCCGTCTCTACTAAAAATACAAAAATTAGCCGGGCGTGGTGGCGGGCACCTGTAGTCCCAGCTACCCGGGAGGCTGAGGCAGGAGAATTGCTTGAACCCGGGAGGCAGAGGTTGCAGTGAGCCCAGATCGTGCCACTGTACTCCAGCCTAGGCAACATAGCAAGACTCTGTCTGAAAAAAAAAAAAAGAAAAGAAAAGAAAAAGGAAAATACCTCAATGCTTATACAACTCTGTTCAATCAAATAACCCCAATTCTAGTTCTGTGATCTCTCAAACGTGTAGAGTGATATTGTAATTAACATTGAAATTATCCCTTCATGTACCTCCAATGCGCACTAAATGTACCAGCTGCCACTTACATACCACCACCACCATCCTTTCCAGAATTTCTGTAAGCACTGCTGATCAAACGCAAACACTCACTGGTACTAATTAAAATAGCTGTTCATTCCTCTGTAGACAGACATGGCATGAAAATCATTAATATTTTTTAGGATGCAGTCTTATAACATGTATTGTACTTCTTTCCAATCTATTGTGGAAAACTTGGAAAATAAACACAAACATAGAGTAAAAAAAACTCTGGTAAACATTATTAACATTTTAGGGTATATCTTTCTAGTATCTTTTCCACTTATTAATCTTTGTGTTACTGTTAATCATGTGGTTACTATGTGTCAAACACTGTGTCAGATGATGGGATTCAATGAAGAAGTCAGGCCTGATCTGGAATCTGTTATATTGAACATATACATTTGTTGGGCCTAAAGTAATCCTCCCACTTCAGCCTCCCAAGTAGCTGGGACTATAGGCTGTGCCACTACACCTGGCGAATTTTTGTACATTTTGGAGAGATAGGATCTCACTATTTTGTCCAGGTAGGTCTTAGACTCCCGGCCTAAAGCAATCCTCCCACCTCGGCCTCCCAAAGTGCTGGGATTACAGATGTGAGTGAGGCATCATGCCTAGTCTCTTTCTTTCATTTTTAAGGCACAAATAGTAGCATATGATAAATATTTCCATGCTTTTTTTTCTTATTTAACCATGTTTCTTAGAGATTGTTCCATATCAGTGTTGAAAAGCTTCCTCATTCTTCCAGCTTCATCATGACCTATGGTATTGATGTACCATTATTTATTTAATCCGTTTTCCCTTAATAGATGTTTAGGTTCTTTATCAGTTTTTTGCTACCACAAAAAAAGTAGTAGCAAAGAACACCTTGTCTATGTGATAATTGACCTGTGTGAGTGTATCTGTAGTATAAACTTCTACTACAAGAAGTGGAATTGTTTGGCCAAAGGATTTGTGTTTTTGTAATTTTGGTACTTACTGCCAAATCGCCTTCCAAAAGAGATTGTACAGTTTCCACTCCCACCAGGAGGACACGGAGTTACCCATTTCCTTGCCAGGCCGTGTCACAGACATGCCTTCTCTTTTCCATGTATTTTCAAGACTACTTGGAGACCCAGACTAGTTGCTGTGGGGGCTCCATAGTGTCACTTTTTACACTTTTAACCACATTATTTGTCTACATTTTTGGTTTTTGTTTTTGAGACAGGGTCTCAAAATAGTTTCAACCTCCTGGCTCAAGCAATCCTCCCATCTCAGCCTCTCAAGTAGCTGAGACTACAGGCGTACACCGCCATGCCTGGTTAATTTTTTTTTTAAATAGAGACAGGGTCTTTCCATGATGCCCAGGCTGGTCTTGAACTTCCAGGCTCAAGAGATCTCCTTATCTCAGCCTCCTAAAGCGCTGGGATTATAGGCATGAGCCACTGTGTTGGGCCTACATTATGTTTCAGATTAAGTGATATTCATTTTGATTTACAGGATAGAGTACATAATATACATAAGAGAACAGTTTCACTCTATATAAATAGCCAAACCAGTTGAGTATTTTCCAGTAATAGGAAGGTCATGAATAACTTCTAAACTACTGATAGACTAAGTATAATTTTTCTTAAGTGCCAATTTCCACCAAAATTGCTACACTAAAAGAGACTTTAAAATATATCTGTGCATTATATCTAAGGTATCTAACTCGACAGTATGTTCAAATAAATGTGTCTATTTTATTCCTTTGGATGGGTTATCAAGCAGGGAAGTCAACACAGTAGTAGAGAAAGGCAGTACAGCAATTGGGTAAAGTACACAGGCTATAGAGCCAATCACCTTGGGTTTGGACAGACCTTGGTTTCAACCCACTACCCCTGGTTTTGGACCTTGCTAACCATTATGTATGTCCATGTGTACCTTACTTATTCCATTCAAACTTCAGCTTCTTTATCTCTAAAAGATGATTAGTAATACTTGGTTATTTGAAAGATTCAATTATACACAATAAATGGCCACCTCAACCACCACTATCACTTACAATATTGCTATGGTAGCACAGTCCCAAATTCAAATATTTGATCTTCTGGGTGCAGTGGCTCATGCCTGTAATCCCAGCACTTTGGGAGGCTGAGGCAGGAGGATTGCTTAAGCTCAGGAATTTGAGACCAGCCTGGGCAACATAGTGAGAACCTGTCTGTATGAAAAAAAACTAGCTGGGCTTGGGGTGCATGCCTCTGGTCCCAACCACTCGGGAGGCTGAGGTGGGGGAATCACTTGAGCCTGGGAGGTCGAGGCTGCAGTGAGGCGAAATTGTGCCACTGCACTCCAGCCTGGGTGACAGAGCAAGACCCTGTCTCAAAAAAAAATTTTTTTGGGGGGGATCCTTTTGTGATATGCATTCCCATGTTTATATAGATAAATAAAGGCAATGTAAATATAGATTAACCCTGAGAACTTAGTGTAACCAAAATCACAATCTTGAATTAACCTTGAAAGATTAATACCAAAATGCCAGCCTCTTTCACACATACATACACACACACCCTTGCATGCATATTTTAAATGAGAGACTGCAAGAAACACAGAGTCCATGAAGATCTCTGTGTGAACTCCTTCTGAGTCATTTTCAGGAGGTAATAGAGGTAAATTCTGATTACTTAACTGGCAAAAATACACTACGTAGTTGTATTTGATTTACTGAGATAACATGGAGAGGTCACTGCATTATTTTTTAACTTGCAGAAAAAGTTCATTAACTCATTGAGAGTCTACTCTGTACTTGGTACCATGCCAGGCATAGGATAGAGAGCTAATCCCAACAGACATGGAGACCCTGACTTCATGATGCTTATAGTCAAGTGAAATTTTTCTTTTCTTTGGAGACAGGATCTTGCTCTTTTAACTCAGGCTGCAGTGCCGTGGCAATGATCATGACTCACCACAGCCCTGACCTCCTGGGCTGAAGCGAACCTCCTGCCTTAGCCTCTGGAGTACCTGGGACCAAGGCATGTACCACCACATCCAGCTAATTTTTAAATTTTTTTGTAGAGAAAGAATCTCACTATGTTTTCCAGGCTGAGGTAGAATATTTTTATCTCAGAGGAGGAGGGAGGGAGGGAGGGAAACAGTGCAAGTAATATGCTTTTGCTGGGCCTCCTGGTGATAGCAGAAACACTGCCAGATAATGGTAGTATCTAACATATTGGGGCACACATCTAAGTAGAAGAGATAGGCTCTAACCCAGAGCAGTAAGCTTAGATATTAGAATAAAGCATAATTTCAAATTCTAAGCACCCAAATAGTTTGATGTCATTTATTACCAAAAATTCTTGTCACTGTTTGAATACTAAATAGGGATGTTTCTTGAGTGAGTACTGAATAGAAAAAATTAAAATAGGGAGTCCTGTAGTTTTGTTTCAATAACTCCAATTTATACAGGTTCTTAAATATTTGCAATAACCATTACTGAGGAATAGTTCCATTTCCTCTATCAATAACCAGTTACATAAGTTATCAACTCTTTACTAAAAGAAAATCTAATTTGATTCAATTAGAATTACTTTTGTTTGAGACAGAATCTCACTCTGTAGCTCAAGCTGGAGTCCCGTGGTGCGATCTTGGCTCACTGCAACCTTTGCCTCTGGGGCTCAAGTGATTCTCCTGCTTCAAGCCTCCCAAATAGCTGGGAGTAGAGGTGTGCGCCACCACACTTGGTTAATTTTTTTGTATTTTTAGTAGAGACGGGGTTTCACCATGTTGCCCTTGGTGGTCTCAAACTCCTGAGCTCAGGCGATCCACCTGCCTCGGCCTCCCAGAGTGCTGGGATTGCAGGCGTGAGCCACCGCACCCGGCCAGAATTTGAATTCTTAAAACTAGCTAAATGCCATTCATCAGAAGCGAAACAGCTAATCTCAAGCCACGAATAATGCGTGCTCACCACCTAGTGGCACTTGTGGCAAACTGCAGGTACATTATACTTAAAACAGTATGTTCTGCTAATTTAATTCATGGGTAACATTCAGAAGCTTTATGGATAACCCTCATCTTCTAGTTAATTTATGAAGTTTTAGCCCCCAGAAATTTGGCAGAATAATATCTTTTGAAATTCCTTTTCAATCCCCACTGCACTATCTAGATCGGACCACCCTTGCCTTATCGTTGTGGTCCTGATTGGATTCTCCACTGTCTCTTAAGAATTGCCATTTATATCATTCCTCTGCTTGAGAAAAATGAAACAAATTTGTTTGCAATACATTCAGTAGAAGCACCTTGTCCCAGTGCAAAGTGCCCAATTCTGAACTTCCTTAACAAGCTGAATTCTAGCAAGAGGGTCAGATGTGGCCTGTGAACACACATCACACTCACCAGCCTGTCCCCCCATACTGAACATTCTACCTGAAGCAGCACCCTCTCCACCTCACCTCTACCTTGGGAATTCTTATTGTTTAAGACTTAACTCAAAGCCCATTGCCTACAAGAAGCCCTACTTGACTACTACAGTTGATTCATCTCTCCCTGTTGTGAATTCTGAGAATGATGATTGTCTGCAGCCTGAGATGTACTCCTGATCTGTTTCTCCTGCCCTCTCATTATTGTCCATTATGTCTGTGGGCTAGCAGATGGCTTCTGTAATGTGAAAAACACCTTGAGGACGGCGATTGTTGTGTGTTTTAAAATATCCCCTTCTCCACTGTACCGAGCTCAGTAAAGAACACAAAGCTTCCTAAATACTTCGGTTGTGTCCACCAATACAGCATTTCATTATTCTGATCTTTTAGGCTGCAGATGTCTCCCAGGTGTGGCTTCTGATCACCTTGTCATCTTTTGCTAGTTAAAACACATGTGATCTTTTCAACAGCAGCAGTAGCTTCATGTCAATGTATCTGCATATTTGGTGAGGAAGAAAACTGGCATAATGTTTCCCAGTAATTTCGGCCAAGAGAGCAGTTCTTTGATTACCTTGGTATTTATGGTGAAAATTGTGTTTAAAATTTGGCAAGGATTTGTCTAATTTATTCATTTCACTTTGTATTTGCAGGTTGGTTGTGATTTATGAATACCATTCAAGAGGTCACTATCGATCTTCAAAATACATCAATTCTAAGTAGACAACCTTCCACCTTTGAAGAACAAAACTTTTACTGTTTCACAAACACATTAGACAAGAATGTGGTTCGATCAACAGGGCATAGGATTCATGAAATCAACATTTATTCATATGGTATCACCTGGGGCAGCAGGAATGCTTCTGGTTCTGATTAAAACCACCGCAACAACTTGTGGATCTAAGGACTTTGTTCTTAAATTAATTTAAATATATCATGGAATTACAAAATGTATTGAACTTCCCTACACAAGGCTTCAATGGCATGGCATTCGAATAAGAAGATGAGTTGATCTTAATAAAATGGATAATCCAAGGAGTGCCCAAACCCAGCCTTTTGGCATCTCAAATCGCAATTTTAACCCTGTAATTATAAGTGTACAATGAGATCTTAATGTTCCTTGATTTGGAATAAGGTTTAAGGTAGTTTTGTTTGTTTGTTTTTTGTTGTTTGAGACGGAGTCTTACTCTGTCGCCCAGCCTGGAGTGCAATGGCATGATCTCAGCCCACTGCAACCTCCACCTCCCAGGTTCAAGCAATTTTCCTGCCTCACCACTCTCCCGAGTAGCTGGGATTACTGATGTGTGCCACCACGCCCAGCTAATTTTTGTGTTTTTAGTAGAGATGGGGTTTTGCCATGTTGGCCAGGCTGATCTCGAACTCCTGACCTCAGGTGATCCACCCACCTCAGTCTCCCAAAGTGCTGGGATTACAGGCGTGAGCCACTGTGCCCGGCCTGTTTAAGGTAGTTTTAAATAAAATTTTGTTAAGGCTCAAATCTCTTCATCACATGAAGTGCTACAGTAATTACTTGCCAGACACAATATTTTCTTGAATCATACACGTATTGGAAATATATGTATATGTACATTTCAAAAATAAAATTCATGTTGACTTATCATTCTTAAAATAACTTTCTCTACACATATCCATTTATCTTTAGACAAAGTCATTGAAAATATGATTTGCCAAGATTTTGAATTTGTGTCTCTACAGGCTGCATACTCTTACAATAAAAAAGCAGGAAAACCTCCTTACATGCCTTCAGTTATCTTTGTTGAATTTGATTTTTTTAGATATAAATAACCAAACTCTCTCAATGCAAGCCTGACACTGATAATGAGTATGTTTCAGATGGCAACAGGAAAACATACTACTGCTGTAATTAAATGCAAATTTTTTTTAGTGCATGCAGTATTAAAGTCGAGTTTAAGCCACTGAATGGGGGAAATCTAGAAGTTAAGTGGCTCAAAATGAATAATTTAAACCTGCTGAGTCAGGTTTTCCTAGTGAACAAGCTGCTACTTGGAGTAAATTTGGTGTGGTTGTAAGTGGCAGAAATTCAGGCTGTTGGATTTCATAATTTTAATATGAATAGAGACATTATTCCCAATACCTTAGCAATTTGTATGCAAAGTACGTAGAGCTTCATTGTGAGAGAAGCTCTGCTTCTGTTTATTTGGTCAGTCGGTCCATATTTCCGAGTGCCAACTGTGTGCAGAGTATAGCAGGCCAGGCTTTCGAAGAGATACTGGACTTTTATGCTCTTGAGGAGTTGAACAGACCCAGATGAAAATATTTCCAAATACTTGAGAATCCTGACTCTATTAACTTTGGGAAGACCTTCAACAAAGGAATGATTAATTGGGAAGGTGAGATTAATCAAAGAAGACTTCCTGGAGAAGGTGAGAACACAGGTTGCGGAAACACACAAATTATTGCATGAAGATGAGAAATCAAAGCACTGGATTAAAGCCAAGAATCCACAGCAAGGAGAATGAAGTTAGAGGAAGCTGGTGGGGAAGCTGTCAAGAGTCTTCATGACCAAGGGCACCTGCTCGGCCATCTTGGTAGCATCTCCTTCCTCCCTGGAGTGTGAAATGTTCACTATTCATCTGCAAACTGTGTGTAATGTGAGAGGACCTTTAGAAGTAAATTAGAGTCTTATTTATAACTCTGTTGTCAAAACTTATAATTTCACAGATATGTCATCGAAAATATTTGGCTTCTGGAAACACTCTCACATAGTGACCCTTGTAAATTAAAATTTCAAGTTAAAAAAAGGAAATGATGATTGCTCACAATAAGAAGTATAAAAATGGAACACTCGTTTATTCATTTCAAGCTGCACTTTCCTTCTTAGACTAAACAATGAGAGAAAACATGAAGAGACCCTCTGGTTTCTACCATTCAAACATTTATATCTGCTTTTGGTAAATAAAATGACTTGACTTCTCTTTTTGTGCCAATTATTATGGTGTTGAATTCAAGATAGAGTCCAATACAAAATCAATCTTGGATGACAAAAGAGGAAACAGGCAAGCTCCAGGACTCAGACCTGGCAGCTACTTTGGGAGGCTCTGCTAATGCTGCTAAGAGCATGATTTTAAAATTAACTTGTGGTCAGCTTCCTCTCAGATGCTTTAGTAATAATTAAATAATAGCAGCCCATGCCACCAAGGTAAGAACCTCGTCTAGCAAAAGTCACTAGTACCTTTTGGATGAGGAATTTCTGCCAAACAGCCTATAAGAGCAGAATTCTGGGATAGCAGAGGGGCAAATGCTTGCATGCGTTGAATTAGAATTCTACTCTGTGATTTACTGCTTGTGACTTTGCATGAATTCCTTAACCTCCCTAAACCTCAGTTTCCTCAGATGTGAGATTGGGGTTAACAGTGCTACCTATTTCTTAGGGTTGTTAGATGCCTCAAATGTAATGATCCAGTTAAAATGCTTAACCCAGTGCTTGGCTCATATCAGTGTTCCATAAATGTTAGTCCCTACTTTATTTCTAGAGTGTTTGAACGACACTGTATAAGCCATGAAGTGTAAGGCAAAATCTTTAGTGTCATTAAGGTAATAACATTATTAGGGTAAAACGGCTGGAAAGTGGAAGACTATAGGAAGAAATGATGCTCGAACCCATCTACTATAGCCCAATAGCAGAAAGTGAAAAAGAATGTATGTTTTTAAATTTTTTTAAATTTTCTATTATTATTTTTCTTATAGAGATGCGGTTTTGCCATGTTGCCCAGGCTGGTCTCAAACTCTCGGGTATAAGTGATCCTCCTGCCTCAGCCTCCCAAAGTACTGGGATTACAGGGGTGCACTGCCATGCCTGGCCAAGAATGTATATCTTTTTATCAGTTTTAAGTGTGTCCACTGATTTTTCCATCTTGGGCTTAGTGATACTAAGTAAATGAAGTACCATAGCTATCATTGTTTTGGTTAACAAAGTCAGAGCTGAGGCAGGAACTGTGGCTGCCTAACAGCCTTAGGTCAAACCCACAAGTGCTCCCTGGGTCTTAGAGCTTGCCTTGGAAAGAGAATCATGAGCTAATGATCCCAATTACTGCCTGTGAAAACCAACACCAAAGAAGAATGCATAGAAACTTCTAAAGCCTTTTTCTTTTTTTTTTTAATTTGACAGAATATCTCTTTGCTGTTTAAGGATTAACATTACATTTTTAACTGAAAAGAAATACAAAGAAAAGTACTATATTAAACTATCAAAACCACTGATTAACTTGAGGAAGTAAAGTCTATGTTCCTTCATGTCAGACTAAAGAAATTTCAATATATATCTTCTATCTATTGTGTACCTACTTCAGGCAATAATTCACTCATTGAAACTGTATTGAAAACCTATTATCTGCTAGGCTGGGGGAGATAACGAAAATGAATAATGCACAGTCCCTGCCTGTAAGGGAACAGGTTGGTAAACAAATCCTTAGGATACTATCTGATAAATTCTACAATAGAGGCATAAGAAAGGTGGGGAGATGACTAACCTAGAAGCACGGAAGACTTCATAGGGAAAATAAAATGTGATTTCCTAATCTACCAAAACAGAGCAATCAAGTACGAACATCTAATAAGAATCTAATGAAAACACTGATGTAACCCAATGTAAAAAAAAAAAAAAAAAAATCTGGGGGATTATTCACTGGCTTCTCACTCCTATTTTTCTATAAATGGGACGAAGCAAGAATTGGCTATACTAAAATTAACCTAAAAGCTGTATTTGGAGCAGTATTAAATGTTGAACTTATTAGCAAATCTGCAGGCTTATATTTCAATTCAATAAAAAAAAAAAAAGAGAGTCTATGATATGCCAAGCACTGACTCCATGCTAGAGAGAGGAAAAACACAGCAGAGAAGACAGAAATAAAAAAGGAAGCTTGCAGCCTCACGAAGGTGAGATAAGAGAGAAAGTGAAAAATGCTTTATGACAGGTGCCAACAAGGAGCTATCCGACACAAACGGAAACGCCTGCACAGGCCAGGCTGGGTGAGAGCATGGGGCCCATGGAGAGGGCATCCCAGTCATCATGGCCATGTTGGAATCCAGGCCCAATGTTGCCAGAACTTTCCGTCTTTCAAGAGAAGCTCAAAATCCACATTTTTTTTTTTTTTTTTTTTTTTTGAGATGGAGTCTCCCTCTGTCGCCCAGGCTCGAGTGCAGTGGCGCGATCTCGGCTCACTGCAAGCTCCGCCTTCCGGGTTCACGCCATTCTCCTGCCTCAGCCTCCCGAGTAGCTGGGACTACAGGCACCTGCCACCACACCCGGCTAATTTTTTGTATATTTTTAGTAGAGACGGGGTTTCACCATGTTAGCCAGGATGGTCTCGATCTTCTGACCTTGTGATCTGTCCACCTCGGTCTCCCAAAGTGCTAGGATTACAGGTGTGAGCCACTGTGCCCGGCCAAAATCCACATTTTTCCATGAGAGCTCTTGATTTTTCTTGTTCTTTTTCTGAGTCAGGATGTGGCTCCATCACCCAAGGTGGAGTGCAGTGGCACCATCACAGCTCACTGCAACCTCTGCTTCCCGGGCTCAAGTGATCCTCCCACCTCAGCTTCCGGAGTAGCTGGAACTACAGATGCACGCCACCACACCCAGCTAATGTTATTGTTTGTTTGTTTGTTTGTTTTGCCATGTTGCCCAGGCTGGTCTCTAACTCCTGGGCTGATCCGAAGTGATCCACCCACCTTGGCCTCCCAAAGTGCTCGGATTATAGGCGTGAGCCGTTGAGCTCAGCTTCTCCTGATTTTTGAAGACTGTTTTAAAATCCTGTCCACAGCTGAATTCAGCCCCTTAGCTGCCAGTTAGCAGCCTCTGTACTTCTAAAATGCACAGGGAGCAAGGAGCAAGAAGCATGGATAACGGACTAATTAGATGGACAGGGGATTTAGCACTGGATTCAAATCCTGCCCTGCTGGCGTTATGCAAACTTGGTCAAGTTCTGAAAATGGATCTCAGTTTTGGTTTCACTAACATTTTTTTTTTTGAGACAGAGTCTTGCTCTGTCACCCAGGCTGGAGTGCAGTGGTGCCATCTCAGCTCACTGCAACCTCTGTCTCCCAGGTTCAAGGGATTCTCACGCCTCAGCCTTCTGAGTAGCTGGGATTACAGGCGTGTGCCACCACACTGGGCTAATTTTTGTATTTTGTATTTTTAGTAGAGATGGGGCTTCTCCATGTTGGTCAGGCTGATCTCGAACTCCCAACCTCAGGTGATCCGCCCGTCTCGGCCTCCAACGTGCTGGGATTACAGGTGTGAGCCACCGCGCCCAGCCACCAATAGGTAGTTCTTGACTGGATTACATCCCGAGATTTGATACCAAGACTAAAACTGTGTTCAGCTCATTTCCCAAAATACAGTAAGGGGCTTTAACATTGGATTCAAATCCTGCCCTGCCTGTGCTGTGCAAACTTGGACAAGTCCAAGGGCACAGCCTTAACACAGCATTTCTTGTCAGATAACCATTGCTTTTAAGATGGTTGAAACAACAAGAGAAGGAAGACTCCAGAGTAGTCCTATGACATGCTCCCACCCACAGAGAGTAAGAATGTTTCCCAGCCACTTCTCATGACCATAGTTTTCTTACTGGATACGCCTGAGTGCAGCAAGGTCTAAGGGGAAGTTTAGGGCTTCAGGTTTGAGGACTTGCTTAATAATGCCTTTCTGTCTATAACCAGTATGCCCACAAGTGAACAAACCTTTTCCCAAAATGGGTCAATTATAATGTTCTGGGTGGAGATTCCATAGCTGCTCCACAGCTCGGAGAGTGTGCTCTTTGGTGCAAGATGTGAGGAGGGATAAAGGAGCTGCACTGGCTTTCCTGTTCTCTTACAGAGTGTCCACTTGTTTCCATTTCTTCTGGGAGAATGGGGAGGAGGCATGTGTAATACATATATTTGACTTCTTTTAGCCTCATTTTCACTTTGTCTCTTTTTGTCTCTTATTCCCATTTTGCAGATGAGCTGGTAGGGGTAGAGGGCAGTTAGGCGATATGAAAGAAAGGTGGAGAGGAAAGAGTCATTTTACTGTTCTCCATTTGAGTATCTTCAAAATCATCAGGTATTCTTGCAGAGAAAAATTAAGGGAGGCATCATTATATTTATTTCTAGTGCCTAACACTGAGCCTGACACATAGGTGCTTAATAGAAACTTGAAGAAAAATGTGTTGAAGAAATAAGTACTCATTGAAGAAAAACATATTTACAGAAGAGAAGCAGCACAAAGTGCTCGGCTGCAAGCAACAGAATATTCTAGTAGTAGATTAGGTAGTAGAGTTAATTTTCCTCATGCAATAGGAAGTTCAGAAGTCAGGTTATTGATATTGTACCAGATGTTCAAAGTGATCATTTGGGCCCTAAGAACTTTCTGTCTTTCCATTTCTTCATCCTTATGTTTATTGCCTCATGGTGTTAATATGGCTGCCCCAGCTGTAAGCATTGCATTCACATTCAAAGGTAGATGAGAGGGGGAAGGATGGAGTCAGCAATATCTGTCCTATGTTATCAAGAAAGTAAAAAACTTTCCCAGAAACCCCCGGAACACATCCTTTTCCAGCTCTTTGGCCAGAACTATATTAAAGAGTCATTCATAGATACAATGAAACCTTAGAAAACTGAGGATTTAGGCAGAATCTTTGTCATTATGTACAAAGTCCGTCTTCCATTAGCAAGGGAAAATGGGGAAATAAACACTGGGTAGACAATATCCGCCACACTTGACTGGAGCCCTTTCTGCCTCCTACTCCTTTCTGAATACTCAAATGACTCACAGCCCTCTATTAATTCTTTTATGTCATTTATTTCCCCTCCCAGATTGAAGGCGTTACTCATGTTTGACTCATTTTCTCCTATCTTTTACACGGTAAACCCCTAATAAGTGCTAATATTATGAATGTTTTGAGATATATGTAAAATGATGCTCTTTAAGTAGTTACAGAAAGAATAAAAACCATGACTTCATTTGTATATTTGTGCATTAGCTACTACTCCATTTTAAATACAGTAGGTAAAGTAGGCTTAAGTGAAATTTTACAAAGGGGAATAAGAACAAATATAAACAACAAATATAAGACATTTTTATAATGTAATAGTGCAGACAAAACTGAAATTCATCTCTTTAAAATGAACTTAATTTCCTGTTTCTTTGTCTTCTCATGCATTCCATGTCATAAAGATAGGTAAATTATTCTAGAAATACTAATATTTTTCAGGTTCAGAAAACTTCAGTGGATCTCAATGCACATAAGAAACTGTCTACATTCCTTGCTCCAGTGCTCAAAACTCCACAACCTGGTCCCAACCAACCATTCTTACCCTGTCACTCACAACTCTTGCGTCAGTATATTTTGCTGTGGCTAAATTCTTCTACAAACTGCCCTCTCAAGGCCTCTTGGGAATTCCACTTCCCCTTGACCTTGAATACCTTTAAGTTCCTCTTTTGGCTTGTTTGAATCTGACTTAGCCTTCAAAGTCTAGCTCAAGTATCAGGTTGATAATTAGATAATGTAGGTTTCCAGCTTTTTTTTTAGGCTGGAGATACAGTTTGCCTTTATCCATATCTTCTGCCTGTACTGGATTTTGTTATTTCAGTTGTCCAGGAGTTCTGTGTGTGAACTGCCATCTTTTCTGTTCCATGTAATATCGTAGCATAGCACGACAGCAGCAAGTATTTTTTCTGTAATGGAAAACTGATTGCTACAATTCTGACAATGGTCATGCTCACCATTTTAACAGTTATATAATTATATGTTACCTATCATTTCCTATGTAGAAACTGTATTAAGAACCATCATTTAATCCTCATAATCTTATGAGGCAAGTATTATTTTTGTTCCCATTTTGCAGATGAGGAGACAGAGGAGCTATCTCTTGGATAGCTTCCAATTCAGAAGTAATTTTTTTTTCTGTAAAGGGCTAAATAGTAAATATTTTAGGTGTTCCAGGCCACATAATCTGTGTTGCCGCTATTCACCCCTTCATTGAAAGCATGAAAGCAGCCGTAGATAGTAAGAAAACAAATGGGTGTAGTTGTATGCCAATAAAACTTTATTTACAGTTGGCTGAATTTGGCCTGTGGACTGTAGTTTACTGACTTCTGTTCTAGCCCAAATAATCCTTTTCATATATAAAGCTAAGAGAGGTAAAGTCCAGATTGCAACAGAGGCGGATCTAGAATCGAGGTCTTCTGATTGGTGGGTTAGTGGTCTTTAACTATTATACTAACTGGATGGGGGTAATTATTCTGTAATAAATTGAGCTTCTGAAATTATAAGGAGGCCAGGCATGGTGGCTCACGCCTGTAAACCCAGCACCTTGGGAGGCCAAGACAGGTGGATCATCTGAGGTCAGGAGTTTGAGACCAGTCTGGCCAATGTGGTGAAATCCCGTCTCTACTAAAAGTATAAAAATTGCTCGGCGTAGTGGCGCGCGCCTGTAATCCCAGGTACTTGGGAGGCTGAGGCAAAATAATTGCTTGAACCCAGGAGTCAGAGGTTGCAGCGAGCTGAGATTGTGCCATTGCACTCCAGACTGGGTGACAAGAGTGCAACTCTGTCTCAAGAAAGAAACCATAAGGAAGTTTTGATACTATTGACAAATTATACTGTTTGACCCAGATGATTAGGTTTCTGTAATTTGATGTGGGTTTTATTCCATCTTCTGTGTCTTCCAAAGGTATGTGGACTTTTAAACTCAGTTTCTTCATCTTTTATAGGAAAGCATTTTCCAGACTAGATAAACACATGCCAGTTGCATGTACAGTTAGGACTCAGAGCTTGCTAAAGAGCACAGGGTGACGACTGTGGAACTACTGAAACATTGTCGAGACAGCAGTCCGTTAAGGCTTCTCAGAGTAGTTCTGAGTACATGGCTCCCTGCCAACTTTCTAACCTGGCCCCCTAGTTTACCAGGAAACATTTTGACATGGTTAAATAGGTACATACATCCTTTGTGGCTACAGGACAAAACCCATGATTGCCTGATCTCTTTAGTCCCATGCTCTGAAAAATTTAGATTCAAATCTTTGACTGGAAATAAAATTTCTGTGGGGCAAGTTTTTATTCTCTGATCTTTGTTCTTTCTATTAATAGACTTGGAATGTAATGGAAAATATAGTTAACATTGCCTTGCACATTTACTTTTTGAGCATAGTTATCAGCACTCTAAGTTTCTCGATTGTCTCAGGACACTGATGATACTAATAGATTCCAAAAAGACTTTCTTGAGCCAGAAGCACTGTAGCACTACATTTCCAGCTCTCTGTTGAGTCTTCAAACTAAGTAGAAAAAGAGAAGCAAATTGAACCTCATATATTTTACTATCCAAGAGGATATTACCTTGACTGGACACGGTGGACTGACTACACAGACTGGCCACCGTCTGCAATAGCGCTCAATGCAATTAGAAGCCTGGGAGATGAGCTGACACTAGAAGGTCAAGAAATACAGTTTTGTTTTGTTTTTTGATGCTTCTGCTGTAATTGTGGCCCCAGAGCATTCTTGTCCTTGACTTATGTGATGATCTGAAGTTATGTTTTGATTCTGAGCATCTATGTCTTATTAGGTTATATGCATCATATTTAAATAACTAGACAAACCTTGAAAGTTCAGAATCCTCACCAGCCTGTAAAATTTTTGCTAGGCCAATCTATCATCAAGAAGACTACAGAAAAAAGTATTTCCTTTGCACAGACAGATGTACCCTTTGCTGTGGATGACTCAGCAAAAAACACCTGCAATAGTGTCTTATTAGGTGGTATCCCCTGGCACTTAAGATATATGCAACCCTGTGCCCTGGAACCTACTTTTGAAGAATGAAAGAAATATTTAAAACATCTTATCGGCCAGCTGTGGTGGCTCACGTCTGTAATCCCAGCACTTTGGGGGGCCAAGGTAGACAGATCACCTGAGGTCAGTAGTTCAAAACCAGCCTGGCCAACATGGCGAAACCCTGTCTCTACTAAAAATACAAAAATTAGCCGGGCATGCTGGCATGTGCCTGTAATCCCAGCTGCTCAGGAGGCTGAGGCAGGAGAATCACTTGAACCTGGGAAGTGGAGGTTGCAGTAAGCTGACATCGTGCCACTGCACTCCAGCCTGGGTGACAGAGCAAGACTTCATCTCAAAAAAAAAAAAAAAAAAAAAAAAAAAAAAAATATCAAGGCAGTGGAAAATGAGCTACTTTTCCCAAATTTCAGAATCTATAGTTATTGGTATTAAGTGAATAATGAAATTCAGTGATTCTCCTGCTAGAGAACATCTCTAAAGCCTTGGGCCAAGAGCTATAAATACATTTTATCAATGCTGTAAGGTAAGCACTGTTACTATATCCACTCCACACATGGAAGCAATGAGGCTACAGAGAGGTTAAGCAGTTTACCCAAGATCATTTAGGTACCAAATGAAGCTGGGATCTAAACTAAAAGAAGTCTGACTCCAGAGCCCGAAAAACTATTACTTCAGTCTGTACAATCACTTGGTAAAATCTACGTCCTTTAGTAGAAAACTTGCTGAATGAGAAAGAGAGAGAAGAACTTGCTGAATGAGAAAAAGACAGAAAATAGCATATTCCAGTCCCTTGTTCCCTTTCCCTAGATCAGTGCTGACATATTACAGAGTACATCCCACCTTATGCTATTGTTTATGCCTAGGCAGTCGCAGAGGGAGCTACCCGCCACAAGAACCCGTGATCATATCTCATCATTGCTGTTCCCCTAGTTACCAAAGTCTGCACTTTGCTTTTGTCATGTTATTGACGTACAGGGGGAAGCATTATTTTCTCAATGGTTCAAATTACATATCTGGGGGGCAAATGAAACTTGGTTTTTATTCTCATTCTCTCCTTTCATTATTTTAGAATCATAAACCTACTAGACAATTGTATAATCATTAAGGTCATATACAAATATTCTGGCCATCTCTTTTTGGGCTTGTAGTAGGACTGCACTTCCTTATCTGCTAAAAGTGACTTGCTCTGACCAATGAAAGGCAAACAGAAATGGTCTATGTCTCTTCTAGGAGGAAGCTTTAAGAGCCAGTGCTTCTCTTTCCAACATGGTGACTGGCAGTATTTCAAACAGCAAAACATTTGAGCTTAGGGCTTAACGTGAGGGTGACAACAAAGATGTGGCATGAAGTCCCCTCTGCCCATCCTGGATCGACAGATAGTATAAGCAAGAAAAAAGCATTGTGGTCTTAAGCCCCCAAGACTTGCAGTTATTACTGCAGCAAAACCTAGTCATCTTGACTGGTCTATTCTTACAGAAAATACTGATGCCTAATTCAAAGCAGCAACACAGAGAATATGGCAAAAGGGGATTAAGCATCTGGTGATTGTGAAGGCCATCGATGCTGCCAGCTAGCAGGAAATATCCAAGTCTTTCCAAAAGGACTGGGAGTAGCATACAAAAAGGAAATGTCCCCGTCATCCAGAACCGAAACCTGGGCAGGATTCCTTTGGAAAGAGAATTGTGGACTTTCTAATCCCTGCAACTGACCCAACAGTCCCCATATCTCTCCTATATGCCCTTAAACAAGAACAAGCACACCTTGAATGCAAGGTGGAGGTTTTAACTAAATACTGGCCGGGCTGAAGTAATCACTCAGAAGCATAATATAACTTTCCTGACAGAGTGATAAGTCAGTAGAGCGACCAAGGGCCTTTCTCTCCTTTTCTCCTTTAGTAATAGAAAAAATGATGCTATGAGTTAGGGGTTTAAACAGAAAGAAACTGAAATCCATGACAGTGATGACTTAATAATATTGCAAATTATAGTTTTTAGTTCAGGTAATTTAGCATACCAAATCACAGTTTAATTTCCTTCTACAGAGCCCAGGCATATGAGATAGTGTATGAGAGAAGGGGCAAGGTGGGGTGGAGACAGGGGGTGAGGATGAGCATGAAGAAAAAAAATTCTAAGACTTCTCAAAGGCAGGTGACCTTGAAAGCCTAATAAAAGTGACCTGGAGAATGTAAATGGCAGTTTATTAATATGTGCGAGGGCTATAGCCCTGACCTCCGGGAAGCTGAGTCCTTGCTTCCTTTTGTTCAAGTGCTTGCTTCTCCTGCCTGGTGGAATGTGAGGATCAAGTGCCCAGAAGGAATGCATAAAGCGTACAGAGCCCTGACAGCTGTGAAAGAATGACTTTGAGAGTGTCAGCAAAGCAGAGCCGTTGTTGAATGGCATGTGTCCTTGATTGCGCACAATGCTGCATGAAGGAACAGAGAAGGGGGAGCTGAATCACTTAATGACTTGTCTTTTGTTCTAGGATCAACGTTCCAGATGAAATAAGCCACGATTCTCGATCCATACTTACCAGTCGCCTTACAAAAAACCAAACACCGCATGTTCTCACTCATAGATGGGAATTGAACAATGAGAACACATGGACACAGGAAGGGGAACATCACACTCCGGGGACTGTTGTGGGGTGCAGGGAGGGGGGAGGGTTAGCATTGGGAGATATACCTAATGCTAAATGACGAGTTAATGGGTGCAGCACACCAGCATGGCACATGTATACATATGTAACTAACCTGCACATTGTGCACATGTACCCTAAAACTTAAATAATAAAATATATATATATATATATATATATATATATATATATATTCAAAATAGCTTCCTCAGGTAGGTGAATTATCTCACCCGGCTGAAACAGTGTCTGCGTGTTTGGCAGGAGAGTCAGGGAAGAGCGCTTGTAACTGGATTTTATCCAAAGTGGTTACCTGAGTTCTAACAATGACAAAGTGGTGAGGATGAGCCCTCTGAGCTAGCTTGGGAAATACTAGTTGTTCAACCCTTTCAGTATTACTCAGCCAAACTGCAGCTGATCAGCTTGACCAAATGTTCGCCAGAGTATCCTGAAATAAGTATGCCCCTTGTACATACCTAAGTTCAGAGGTTAAGGGTCAAATAGGTAGGCTGAGTTTGCAAGTGCTTGAAGCTAAAATTCTCAAACTCAGGTGCCTAAGGACCACCCAGTTAAAACAATTCCTAGGTTCCACCTTATTGAATCAGAATCTCTTGAAGTGGGGCTAAAGAATTTGTGTTTTAACTTGGTTCCTAGGTTATTTTGAAAACTAGGATGTTTTTTTAAAAAAATCTACTCAAACTTACCTGAGTATGAAAAAAGAAAATATAACCCTTCATAGACATAAAAAGCACATAGCCATAAAAAGCACAAACACAAAAACATCCAAGGAAACAAAATTCAGTCCAAAGACTTCATGTAAGTAGAGATCACATAGTACTTATCATCCAAACAGGGACACCTCTGAAAGTGAAAGCTATTGATTATAGCAGGATAACAGGTGTAAACAGGGACTGTACTCTGTAACTGGGATTTATGGTCATCTGAATTCTAAGACTAATCTGGGCAGGAAAATTGTTTGGGATTTAGGCCACTAACACAACAGAAAGCCCTCATCCAAGTTTTGAAGTTTAGCAAGAGCTGCAAATATTTTGATTAGGAGGGCTATATAAACCATAAACCCAGAGGATCTTGTTCAGGGGTTCACTGTGGCTTGAAGTAGAGCAGGATGAACTCTCAGGTCCTAATTACCCTGACTGAGAAGAGACCAGTAGAAACTTTGACCCCACAGTGGAGGAGTGCATATGGCAGTGACATTTATCCACAGCAACTGCAGAAGTCAGTCTTATGAAATGTAAAGGATTGGACCTCAGAGATGGAGAGAGAAGAAACAAACCAGGCATTATTCTACTCCCTACACTTATCTTGCAATTTCTAGGAAACACCTTTTCTCCTAAGTTTTTAGTTCTCTAGTCATGCAGTTTGCACAAACCCCCTAAAAATTATTGCCATATAGCTTCCTATTGCCTTCCGCCTCTGGGGAATACTGCAGTATTCTTATAGGGAAAAGGAAGAATGGGTTGCGCATTTTCATTATTCATTGGATGCAAAAAATTCATCGTGTAAAGGTTGTTTTAGAAGTGCAAAACAGCTAAATGAGAAATCATGTTATTGCTAGGAAATTTCATTTATTTCCTTTGTTGTAATAATGATTGTGGTGTGTAGTTGCTTCTGTAATAATTACAGTGATGCTATTGCACATTTACTTTCAGGTATCATTTTCATTTTAAAATTAATCTCAAAATATAGTGTTCATTCAATTATGCCTCTCTTAGCAAACAAACTCTACTCTGAGCTCTAAACTACCCAGTATTGAAACTACCTTTTTAAAATGGGAGGACCAATGAACATGCATATGCAGAAGGGCCTGGATCTTCACAAAGTAACTTCTCTTCTAGAAATTATACTTCAGGTAGACTATGCCTCTTCTGTGTTCAGTTGCCAGTGCATGGGGTGGAAGGAAAGCGTAATTGGTGCACTGGCCCCCAGGAGAAAAGCAGTATCTGAGGAAACATTGAAATAATTACAAAATATGTGTTTAAAAGAGGCATGGTGATAGTTACAGGAGAAGGGAAAGAGAAGGAAAGGAAGAGAGAAATCGCTCTTAGATGATTATAAAATATATCTTATTTACCTGAGAGAGTTAAAGTGTATTGGCTATGCTTTTTAAAAACGGGTCTTAATTACCCTTGAGGCCAGAATTCCATATGAGATAAATATGTTTTTAGATAGTTTTCTAAAATATGTATAATTTACTCAAGGAAAAAAGGACTGTGTCCTCTGGAGCCAATCCAGCCTCACAGGTAAATACAAATTTAAGTAGATTCCTAAGAAGCACATTATGAACAGTGGCTGATGGAGTGGAATGTCTGTGAAGAAGCTGGGAAGGTCCGTCAGTTAAGTACATAATAAAAATGTATTGGAAAAATACATCATTTCCTCAGTGGACTATAATTGGCTATGCATAGTAAAAAGTCTTATTTTCAAAAATGTATTCTGCATCCACAGAGTTTTAAATCTCAATAACCACGTTATTTTTAAAAGTCAGAATGCTAAGCAATATTAGTGAGAGTGGCAGAAGAACCACATGGTAGATGTCATTCTGCAATTTACAACTCTTTGACATCTTCTTTTTCTTCTTCTTTTAAAGCAGACTTCATCCAAAGCCATAGGTAAAAAGTTAAAGAAGATGGAGGATCAAAATTCAGCTTTCTTTACTAAACAGTCCGATCAGTCTTTTCAGAAGTGCCAAAGTACGTTTAACTTTAAAAGCATATCCTTTTTTTATTATCCAGGCAGAAATTTCTGGTATAAACAAACAAGACAGACAGATGTAAAGGTCCACAGTAACACAATTACCTAGGCCTGCCATTTACACCTTTCCCCATCCCACTGATTTTGACCTTTCCCTTGCCTACCACCTCACCGTTCTCCCAGCCCATCCATTCGGTTCTGGCTTCACTTGTCTCCTTCCCTTGCAACCTATAGGGATGTTGTTGGACCTGTCTTTATGTTCTTTCTGTATTATCCTGTTTTTATACAACTCATTCTGGGCTGCCAAGCTGTGGACTGCCCGTTTTGGCGACCACACATTCCTGGTGTGTCATGCAGCCCCAGGGAGGCCTTGACAGTGACTTGGGCATTTGTCCATTTGGCTCATGCTGACTGGCTGTCACAGTCCTCCCAGTCCTCCCACTTTCTCCAGAGCCTCCCATCCTAACATTCACACTCATAGCAGGTGACCATTTCTTTGTTTTTCCTGAGAGAGCTGAGGCCATGTGTGCTTCTTCAACACCTGTGCTCCTCACCGGGAGGATCCCCAGGGAGCTTCTTCCCTGACCCCTTCCTTCTGCCACTGCCATCACTTCTGAGACCCTGATCCTCCCCTCTTCTAGCTCTGGATTCCTCCTTCCCCACTGATTCCTTTTAAAGAGTGAGTGACCTCTCTAGTATTAATACTAAAATGAGCCCCAAGGTCCTTCCAACTCCTTAATTCCCACTTTCCTCTCTTTCCCCGCTTCAGAATCAAACCAGCTCTCAAACCAGAGTTCACACCAGCTGCCTCTCATTTGCCTTCTGCGTTCTGCTCTCACCACACTAGGGAAACTCCGAGGACCACGACCACAACTAATCCAATCACCAGCGTTCATGACTTTTTCTTTAGTGCTCATCTTCCATGACCATTTGACATACTTCATTCTAGCGATATATTTCTTAAAACATGTGGTTTCCATGCTTGGGACCCTTCGGATTCCCCTCCTATCACTCTGAAGACTCCTTTTCAGTATATGTTCTGTTTTTCATCCTCCCGTTGCCCTTTAAATAGATGCATTCTCCACAGAACTGTCCTCGGCCCTCTTCCTCTCATACTCAACTTCCTCTGCCTCTGTAATAACTTTGTATCTCTAATGGGTAATTCTCAAATTTAAAAGTCTCTGCTATAACCTCTTCTTTGAACTCTAGATTTCTACTTCTACCATCTGCTAGAATACCTTATTCGATGTCCTGGTGACATTTCAAACTCGACATGTTAGAAACAGAAGTAATTTTTTTCCCTCTAAAATCTATTCTTACTCAGACCTTCTGTTCCATTTAACAACTTGACAATTTTCCTGGGCACCCATGGCCGACAGTGATGCTGCTAATGATTATAACAATAACAATATTATTACTCCTATTAGACCTAGGAAATTCCGACAACAGCCAGACCTTGTTCTAAGCTTCACTAAATATACAGTCATTTAATCCCTACAACAACCCTATGAGGTTGGAACAATTATTAACCCCACTTTGCAGATGTGGTAACTGAGGGATAGAGGTAAAATTTCTTGCCCAGCATCACATAGCAGCCTGGTTCCAGAATCCATACTCTTAACCACTATGCTCTACTGCCTCAAGAAGTCTTCAGTGATTGTTGGCAGCAATTGTAAGATGTGTTATAGCTGACAGTAGCTAGAAGGTGGCTAATTTGAGGTCTGTGGGATTTGACATTAGGTGGTGGTTATGGGAATGAAAAGGAGAGTGACTGACAGGAGACGGTGGAGCTCTATGAAGATAGGAACTGCACTCAACGAGGTGTCATCTATAGCATTATGGGCACTGGCTGTGTCTCAGAGGCTGGTGAATAGGCGATAAGAATGAATTATACACATAGAAAGCCGAAACTCCCTTTTTCTACCATTCTAGCAATAGTAGATGCAATTCCGGTTAATTACGGGAGGTATAAATATCAGAGGGGAGATGACAAAGATGTTGGCAAAATGAGATCCTTTGACAGCCACTTTTCTTTTGCTAAAGAATACCCAGCACACAACTATGGCTACTTTGAGTGATTATGGGACTCTGATGCCTGAATTGCTATATTTTATTCATATGTATCCTTCTATTCTTTCAATATTCAATCAAATGTTTACTTTTTGTATAGGATTGTGCATGTTATGTATTAAAGTACTCAGTTCTGATTACTAGAATTTATGACTTTTTTTTTGTGGAAATAAGGTATGTGAAAGCTAAATAAGATCATGAATAAATAATACCTCAAGGTCATAGGGCAATATGGCATGCTGTTTTAAAGTATGGGCTTTGGAGTCTATATAGAACTCGCTTCTAATTTCGGCCTTTGTTTGTGACTTTGGACAAGTTGCTTTGTCCTCATCTGTGAAATGTGAATGACAGAACCTACCTAATAGAGTTGTCATGAAGAAGAAATGAGATAACGCACATCAAGTCCTCAGCATAGTGCTGAGCAAATAATTCCATGCACATGGGCGTACACAAACACATACAACTGAGTATTACTCTGTGTTCTGAAGGGGACTTCCTATTGGCTGAAGCGTTTATTGGGTGGCAGGAGGCAGATTTCAGCTGAGTCTTAAAAAATGGATGGGTCTTAGATAAACGGAAAGAACATTTCATATAGATACCAAGGCAGACCTCAACAGAGGCTAAGAGGAAGGTGCAAAGTAAGAAATATCACAACAGCAAAGTCAATAGAATTTTGATTACAAATTACAGACAGAATCATCAAAGATGATTTGAGTTTTTATGTCTTCATGATTAAAATAATTGTGCTACTGGTAGAAATCCATTAGCCATGAAAGGAAGTTAGTTTTAGAGGAAGAAGACAGGTTTAGAGCGAAATATATAGAATCTGAGGTTATGATGGGACAATTTTCAATGTCTAAGAGGATGGAAAGAGACAACAGACTTGAGACGAAAGGCAGAAATGGAGATTTCTAGCTCCTTGAGGAGTTAGGTCTCATTTCTCTTTAAATCCCTCAGAACAGCTAGCATAGTGCTTTGAACATTCCACATGCACACTGCTTGTTGCATGGATGGATGAATAAGTGAATAAAAGTAAAGATTCTGGAGTTCTCTCCACGGAGGAGATAGTTAGTCTCCAAGGAAGAACAAAACAGAGAGGTACCCAAACATCAGAGACACAAGAAAACCAAAGTGTTAGAGTAAAGCAACAACAACATGAGTGCACAGGGAAACAGAAGGGGATATCAAATGGTGGTCAAGGGAGTCTTGGGAAACAGGCACTGCCAAGGAGGAGGATCAAGTGAAGTTATTAATGTCTTCAGGAAACAAGTTTAGTAAGGTGTTATAGATGGAGGCCTCAAAAGAAAAAAATGAGATCCAACAAAAGTGGGGAGTAAATGGAGGCAACAGATGTATGTCTGAGATTAATAGCAACTGAAGGAAAAGAAAACTCACTACACTCTTTTCTAAAAATGTGTCACTATATGATACACAGACTAGACATTTGTCATAGGTACTCAAATATTAAGTGCACATATGCATGAATATATGAACAAATGGATGAATTGAATAAATAATTCATATTTGATATGAGAAAAGTACTATATCTTGATTTCTTGTTTCTTAATTAGAAAATCCCTCGCTGGATGTGGTGGCACATGCCTATAGTCCTAGCTACTTGGAAGGATCACTTAAACCCAAGAGTTCAAGGCTGCAGTGAGCTATGATTACACCACTGCACTCCAGCCTGGGGGACAGAGCGAGACCCCATCTCTTAAAAAGGAGAGAGAGAAAAAATAAAAATAAAGAAAATTCCACCTTCATTTCTGTGCTGTGGGTATGTAAATAGATGCAAAAGCACCTGTAGGTAACGAAGTCAGTCAACTCTTACAAGACAAAAACTGATTTCTTTTCACCATATTATTCTTTTACCTGTTTTTATGGAGGCTATACAACTATGATTTAGATTGTGGGAAGGTGAATATTTATGAATAAATAAGAAATTTTAATTTTTCATATCAACTGTTTTAGTATAAGCTCCAACCCCTCCAAGTGACTCCCACCTGGATAATTTTTTATTAAAACTAATTGTTTTCTATGTTTGGAAAATGCACAATTTTGTTATCATGGAGAAAAGTCTGCACAATATAATTATTATATAGAAAAACAAACATGACTTGTAGAATAGGAAAAAACATCTGAAATCAGTAAACATCTATTTAGTTTTCCTGATATACACTAAAAACAGATATTAAGAAAATATTTTAGCTATGGATTTGCCTTTTTTAATGCTATGAAATTCATGCTGAGTAGAGAAAACCTATGCTTGATACTTTCAACTTATAGTACATTTTCAAGGTGAATTATTAAATTCTCAAAACCTGACCTTCTAATGAAGGCACTGATGCAAGCACAGAGTTGGTGAAGAAAACCACAAAGACATAAAAATGCACAGATATATGATCAACTAGGGACAAATTTTGATGGAATTATCACCAGATCTCTACAGACAAGGCATATCTATCAAACCATGCCTACCATAAGCTTTGATTCCATTAATTCCCGAGAAAAGACATCACGTAGAGTTCTGGATACCAGGTGTGTAAACACTAAGAGATTCTGATATTATGATATCTTTCATGTAGAAACCTGAACACAACCCCACCAGATGCAGAAGCTAGTTTCCACTGGGAATGCTACCTACCCTTTTACTACTGGTATCATTATTTAAACGTTTAATGTAGGAGAAACTAAAGGCCAAAAAAGAACACGTCTGCACTTAATTTCAAGTGACAGCTAATATAGTGCATTAAAAATGTAATACTATACATATGATAGTTATATATAAATAGTAACATTAAAAAGGGTTACAACATCCCTACGACATCTTACGTCTAAAACACTTAAAAAGCACATTTGCAGTACAACTTAAATCATTTTAATTGGTTTCAAGAAGACTTCAAATTAGTGATGGGCTTTGACTTTTTCTGATTATGAAAGAGAAACACAGATGAATGCTTTTTAGGCAGCCTAATATCATTGCCAGGTAGACTACCACATAACCTGTGTTACTTAAATGCCATTAACTATCAATGAAAGTTATTTTCACATAAGTGTTTTATGTAAATTTTGTTTTCCTAAAGTCATTAGTTCTCCTAATAAATGTACCTAATGCAAAATGTCTTTTTTTGTTCTTTCTTTGCATTCATTATCCAGGAACTTTTTCAAAGAGAAAAAAAAAAAAAAAAAAAAAGCAGAGTGACAGAGCTGGAATACTTAGCAACCATTTTACTGTTGAGGGTTTTTTTTTTTTTTTTTGGTACGAAAAATAATCCAGTTACATTCTCTAGCTCAATTGCTTACAAATAACTTATCTGGAAAAAAAATCAAGTAAATCTATCAGTTGTAGAAGTTTATTTTTCCATGTGGTATCTAGAGATAAGCCAACCTGTAGTATTAGATTTCCACTGACATAATTGTGCATGAATTCTGATCTGATTTGATATTACATGGTGCAAAAGGTGACACATTTTCTCTAATATACCCCATTAGAAAGGGAAGAAATTGCCAAAGTATGAAATCTGAGGACCTTGATTCAGAAACTATATGACTCTGAGGTTAGCTCAATGGGAAAAAAAGAACTTGTTTGACTACTCCAGGCACTGAAGGCTGTGACAAGCAAACTACCAAGGGTAGCTATTCTGTTGGATAATCAATACAATCTTACATTATCAGACTGCCACAGCTGTATATTCGTTTATCATATTGCCTTCTATGTCTCTAAAATATTTAAGTGTAGAATCACAAAGAGAATACAGATGCTGTCCTCTTCCCAAATCATTGCTGATCAGGATACTTGGCTAAGACTCCAGAACAAAGAAATAGCATTTATGCACATAACATGCCAAACATTGATTTTAACACCCACATATGCTACCTATGTACAGCAGAGAAACATTAGCTCCAGGCATATAGGAAATGGCTCCTAACTGAGCTACCTACAGTTTCTACAACAAAATTGTTTTTTTTTTTTTGAGACAGTATCACTCTGTCACCCAGGCTGAGTGCAGTGGCACGATCACAGCTCGCTGCAGCCTTGAGCTCCCCAGGCTCAAGTGATCCTCCTGCCTCAGCCTCCCAAAAGCTGGGACGACAGGCATGTGCCACCATGCCAGGCTAATTTTTATATTTTTCATAGAGACAGGGTCCCACTATGTCACCCAAGCTGGTCTCCAACTCCTGGGCTCAAGCAATTATCTCGTCTCAGCCTCCCAAAGTGCTGAGATTACAGATGTGAGTCACCATGCCCAGCCCTATAACAAAAGTTTAGAGATATTAGTGATCTTCTAAATCCTATGATAAACGCCCTTGAACAAATCAATAAAATACCAAATATGAACTGTTGGCAGTTTTAAATTGCATTTTCAAAATGCAGAAACTGTTACGTTTTAAGAAGGAAATGTTCTGCAACCTCCTTTTATCACTTGACTTTTTATATTTGGCAGACAGTCCCAGTAGGCAAAGTCTGGCTTCCAGAACACAGACTGTTGGCATTTGGATCTCTTTTATCAAAGGAGGGCAATGGATGTCCATTACAATTTAGATTGGAATTTCCTACAGGATTCTTTGCAACTCCTTCCTGCTTCCCAGCTAGCTTTGAGGGAGAGCTTAGCTAGAAAGTGAAATTTTTGGATGGAATTCTTATCTACAAGCAAGATAAAAGAGTAATTAGGTAGTCCTTTCATATTTTAGTGGGGACATAGAAAATGACAATTCATCTTGTAAATCAAAAACAAAAATAAATATGCACAGGATAATGGAACTTGAATCTACCTGACAATATGAAGGCACCTTGTTTGTATAAATTTTGAGATAACTTAATCCAGTACCATGTGCTGATAAATCTTGGATAAAGAGACTCTTGGGAGGCAATAGGCTCCGTATTTCTTAATGCTACATGACATCTATTAGAAGCTTTTGGTCTTGGGAAATTGTGGCCAATTTTATTTTCTACAGATGGCCACACAGTATCTCCAATCCCATAGATTCTTATGCACTATGACCTTTATAATCCCCAGCAAGAGGCAGAATTGAATTACCCTTTCCTTAAATCTGGGCTGGCCTAAAGTCTTGCTTGACTACTAAGACAATGTGGGAAACGTGACATTCTGGGACTTCCAAGGCTAGGTCATCAGAAGCCTCGTGGCTTCCACTGGGTCTCTTGAAATACTTGCTTTAGGATTTTCCCTTTTCAAACCAAGCTGCCATGGTATGAGAAGCCAGCAACAACTGCCAGACCAAGCCACCTTGAATGTGCAGCCAAGTTGAGCCTTTTAGATGGCTGCAGTCCCAGGCATCTGACTAGAACCATACGAGAGATTCAGGAAAGAAGTGCCCCAGTGAGCCCAGTCAACACAATGAATAATGACAGAGTGGTCAATTATTAGTTTAGATCACTAAGTTTTGAGGAGTTTGTTATGCCAAACATGGCGGGCTTTGGAGGCAGACAGACTAAAGTTTATAAAGTCTGGTTGTTTCACTCTTTAATGACTTTTAATGAGTGACTTATGCCTCAGAGGTTTCTAGTCTTTCCATCTATAAAATAGTGACAGTAGTAGCAGCTTCTCAAATGATACAAGTTCTTCCAGCATCATATTGTCCTAATGACTGGTTGATCAAAGCCAAAAAAGCATGGTTACTATATGCCTTTCCCTCTGAACCAACTTGAGGCACTGAAAATATTTTTCCATTTACATTTGTCTTTCTTGTTTCCACGTTGGATCTGTGCTTACTTATGAAAGCACACTGAATGGGTAAAAGATACTCTGTATGGACCTGTGGCCATCATTTTTCCAAATGCTGTCAAGACCCAGTGCCTAGGGAAAAGACAGCCAGGCAGGCATATGGGACACATTCTCTGTCTATTCTGAGCAGAATGGGCTGTGGGTACACAAGTTGCATTCCAAGTGGCCTAAGTGTCACCTCTACATGGGTCAACAGGCTTTGCTAAAACATCTCTGGGAAGGAAAATTAATTAGAGGATTTGTTTTCTGATCTCAGTTTCTTCACCACCAGACAAGCTACTAATTCCTAGTCTTAGCTTCTTTGTGAGACTTTCTAGGCTCACCTACTTCCCCATTATCTGATTTCCAGTCTTAGCTACTTCTCCACTAGCCAGGTTAATCTTCCTGATACTGGAGCATGGGAATGATATTTCATGTGCCAATATATAGAGTTATTGTGAATATTAAATAAGGTAAGAAGGGAAAGTACTTTGAAATATGTAAAGTGCTACACAAATATATCTCAGCTAGATACATCATGGTCATCCACAACATTAAAATCTCCTTTACTCTCTTCAACATAAATTTTTTCAATAATCTATTAGCTATTTAAAAATCTCTCAAATTTGTTTCTTTCTATTATCATTTTTACTGTTAAGTTAAAGATGCCTTTATTTCTCGCCAGAGCTATTGTAAAACATCCTAGCATATTTCTCTACTTCAAGTCTCATTTCCTTCTTATTCCAGTCTGTGTCCAGTTGCCAAAGTTCTCTTCTTAAAGCACACATTTCATCATAACAATTCTCTCCTTTAAAATTGTCTATGATTCCTCATTACTTGAAGAATATAATTCAGACTCCTTAGATGATGTCCAAAGCCTTCACAATCTTAAATGTAGATTTCTAGTGTCATTTCCCTCGACTCTCCCTCCTGCACATTATGCTCCTATGATACTACATACTCCTTGATTTTATATACTAAACTTTCTGGTACATTCTCATTTATCCTTCAACACCCAAATTAAATGTCAGTTCCTTTGTGGAACATTCACTGACAATTCCGTGAAGCTGGCTACCTTCCTGTTTTCTCACCAAAACTATTCATTACTTTATTATAACATTTTCCCATTGTATTATAATTATTGGCCTACCTAACCAAGGATCCCATCACACAATGACTCCTGGAAGGCTCATACTGTGTCGCATTCATCTGTGTCTACCCAGTGACTTGTCTCTCAATATATGTTTATGGAACAAAAGCATCATTTTTCAATGAGAAAGACATAATAGCAAAACAGTTCAACCTTTATCTGAGGTTGAGCTTTAAGTAAGGAAGGGTAGCACTGTGAACTTTGAAAGAAAAAAAATTTTAAAACTTTCTGAGACTTTGATTACTGCTATACAAAATTCATGTTTTATGTCAAATTATACTATTAAGACATTCATTTACACAGAGGGATATGAAATAAGATGCTGTATTTATCAGCCTAGATTAAGTTATGTTGCAGTCACAAAGACCCCCAAAATCATAGAGGCTTATAATCGAGATTTATTTTTTTTGTTTACACTACATGTCCATATGGGTTGGTTCCATGCCATCTTTATTCCAGGACTCAGGCTAAAGGAGTAGCTTCTCTGTGGATAGTGCCAGCCTTGTTGCAGAAGGAAAAGAGATATGGCAGAGCCAAGGATGACTCTTAAACCTTTTGCTTGGATGTGGCCTGTGTCACCCAAAGAAAGTCACATGGACAAGTCTGATATCAGTATGCAGGGACATATATCCATAATGCAGTCTGCCACAGACGCCATCAAAGGTAAAAAGGCAGGTGACATTGTCACCACCATGTTAACAACTCTAGAATAGCTTCCCATTGATAAGAACCTAATTGATAAGAGCCCACCATGCTAACTAACATCACTATAATCCATGCATCCTTGTTTACTTCGAGTCTGTAATCCATGCATCCTTGTTTATTATGAATCTAGATTAAGTGGGAAATTTTCAATGAAAAAACAATAGTACCACCAAAAGAAACTCATTTCACCTATAAAGACATATAGACTGAAAGTGAAGGGATGAAAAAAGATATTCCACACAAATAGAAACCAAGATTGAGCTGGAGTAGCTATACTTACATCTGATAAAACAGATGTTAAGTCAAAAACTGTAAAAGGAGACAAAGAAGGTCATTATATAATGATAAAGGGATCAATTCAGCAAGAAGATCAACAACTATAAATATATATGCACCTAACACTGTAGCACCAAGACACATAAAACAAATATTAGATCTAAAAGGAGATAGAGACTCCAACACAAAAATAATTGGGGACTTCAATACCCTACTGTCAGCACTGGATAGATGACCTGGACCAAAAAAAAAAAAAAAAAAAAAAAATCAAACAAACATTGGATTTAAACCACACTGTAGACCAAATGGACCTAACAGAGCTTTATAGACCATTTAATCGAACAGCTGCAGAATACACATTCTTCTCATCAGCACATGGGACATTCTTCAGGATAGACCATATATTAGGCCACGAAACAACTCTCAACACATTTCACAAGATCTGAAACCATATGAAGTATCTTCTCAGGCCCCAGTGAAATAAAACTAGAAATCAATAAAAAGAGGACTTTGGGAACTGTATAAATATATGGAAAGGAAACAACATGCCGCTAAACAACAATTGGGTCAATGAAGTCATTAAAAAGAAAATAAAAGATTTCTTATAACAAATAAAAATAGAAACACAACATGCCAAAACCTATGGAATATAGCAAAAGCAGTGCTACGAGGGCCATTTATAGAAATAAATGCCAATATATATAAAGTAGAAAGATTTCAAATAACTAATTTAATGATGTACCTCAAGGAACTAGAACGGCAAGAACAAACCAAACCCAAAATTAGTAGAAGGAAAGAAGTAATAAAGATCAGAGCAGAACTAAACAAAATAGACTGAGTCTGGTTGCTCATGCCTGTCATCTCAGCACTTTGGGAGGGCGAGGTGGGTGGATCACCTGAGGTCAGGAGTTTGAGACCAGCCTGGCTAACATGGTGAAACCATGTCTCTGCTAAAAAATACAAAAATTAGCCAGGTATGGTGGCATGTGCCTGTAATCCCAGCTACTCAGGAAGCTGAAGCAGAAGAATCACTTGAATGTGGGAGGTGGAGGTTGCTGTGAGCCGAGATCATACCACTGCACTCCAGCCTGGGCAACAAGAGGGAAACTCCATCTCAAAAAAGAAAAAAAAAAAAAAAAGCACTAAACAAAATAGAGACTAAAAAATTACAAAGGAGAAACAAAATAAAACACTGGTTTTTTTGAAAAGATAAAATTAAGCCGTTAGCAAGACTAGCCAAGAGGGGGAAAAAAAAAAGACTCAAATAAATAAATCAGAATTGAAAAAAGACATTATAACTGATACCACAGAAATACAAAGGATTATTAGAAACTATTATAGACAAGTATATACTAACAAATTAGAAAACCTAGAAGAGGCCTGGTGCGGTGGCTCACGCTTGTAATCCCAGCACTTTGGGAGGCCGAGGAGGGCAGATCGCCTGAGGTCAGGAGTTCAAGACCAGCCCAGCCAACATGGCGAAACCCCGTCTGTACTAAAAACACAAAAAAATTAGCTGGGCATGGTGGCAGGCACCTGTAATCCCAGCAATTCAGGAAGCTGAGGCAGGAGAATAGCTTGAACTCGGGAGGTGGAGGTTGCAGTGAGCTGAGATCATGCCACTGCACTCTAGCGAGGGCGAGAAGAACAAAACTCCATCTCAAATAGCAAAGACTTGGAAACAACCCAAATGTCCATCAATGATAGACTGGATTAAGAAAATGTGGCACATATACACCATGGAATACTATGCAGCCATAAAAATGGATGAGTTCATGTCCTTTGTAGGGACATGGATGAAGCTGGAAACCATCATTCTGAGCAAGCTATCGCAAGGACAGAAAACCAAACACCACATGTTCTCACTCATAGGTGGGAATGAACAATGAGAACACTTAGCCACAGGGTGGGGAACATCACACACCAGGGCCTGTCATGGGGTTGGGGGAGGGAGGAGGGATAGCATTAGGAGATATACCTAATGCTAAATGACGAGTTAACGGATGCAGCACACCAACATGGCACATGTATGATATGTAACAAACCTGCACGTTGTGCACATGTACCCTAGAACTTAAAGTATAGTTAAAAAAAAAAAAGGCAAACCTAGAGGAAAATTCCTGGACACATACAGCCTACCAAGATTGAACCAGGAAGAAACAGAAAACCTGAATAGGCCAATAAGAAATAGTGAGATTGAGTCAGTAACACAATGTCTCCAAACAAAGAAGACCCCAAACTGGATAGCTTTACTGATTAATTATGGCAATTTATAAAGAACTAACAATTCTTTTCAAACTGTTTCAAACAATTGAAAGGACGGAATTCTTCCTAACGCATTCTATGAGGCCACCATTACCCAGATCCAGACAAGGACACAATAAAAAAAAATTACATGCCAATATCCCTGATGAACATAGACACAAAAATCCCCAACAAAAATACTAGCCAACTAAATCCAACAGTACATCAAAAAGATAATACACCATGATCAAGTTGGATTTATCTGAGGCATGCAAGGATTGTTCAACATAGGCAAATCAATAAATGTGATACATCACATTAACAGACTGGACAAAACCATATCATAATCTCAATAGACACAGAACAAGCATTTGGTAAAATTCAACATCTCTTTATTATACAAACTCTCAACAAATTAGGCATAGAAGGAACATATCTCAACGTAATAAAGGCTCTATATGGCAAACCCACAGCTACTACATGGAATGGGGAAAACCTGAAAGCCTTTCCTCTAAGAACTGGAACAAGACAATGATGCCCCTGTTCACCACTCTTGTTCAACATAGTACTGAAAGTCCTAGCTAGAGCAATCAGGCAAGAGAAAGAAAAGGCATCCAAATTGGAAAAAAAGGAAGTCAAATTATCCCTCTTTGCAGATGACATGATCTTATATATAGAAAAACCTAAAGACACCACAAAAAAACCTCTTAGAACAGATAAACAAATTCAATATAATTGTAGGATGCAAAATCAACATACAAAAATCAGTGGCATTTTTATACACCAGTAATGAACTAGCTAAAATAGAAATCAAGACAGCAGTTCCATTTACACTAGCTACAAAAAAATAAAATACCTAGGAATAAATTTAACCAAGGATGTAAAGGACCTCTACAAGGAAAACTAAAAAATACTAATGAAAGGAGTTGAAGAGGACACAAATGAAAAGGGATCCCATGCCCATGGATTTGAAGAATATTGTTAAAATGACTATACTACACAAAGCAGTCTACAGATTCAATGCAATCTCTATCAAAATACCAATAACATTCTTCTGAGAAATAGAAAAAACAATGCTAAAATTTGTATGGAACTATAAAAGACCCTAATAGCCAAAGCAATCCAGTGCAAAAAGAACAAAGCTGAAGACATCACAATCCTTGACTTCAAAATATGCTATAAAGCTTTAATAACCTAAACAACACGGTATTGGTATTAAAACAGACACATCAACTAATAGACCAGAACAGAGAGCTCAGAAGTATATCCATATTTTTAAAGCCTACTGATTTTCAACAGAGGTATGAAGAGCATAAATTGGGGAAAGGACACTCTCTTCAATAAATGGGGCTGGGAAAACTGGATATCCATATGCAGAAGAATAAAACTAGACACCTCTATCTCACCATACACAAAAATCACCTCAAAATGGATTAAAGATTTAAATGTTAAGATGTAAAACTATAAAACTACTAGAAGAAAACATAGGAGAAATACATCAGGACATTGGTCTAGGCAAAGTTTTATGGCTAATACTTCAAAAGCACAGGCAGCAGAAACAAAAATAGACAAACAGGACTATATTAGACTAAACAGCTTCTGCACAGCAAAGGAAATAATAAGAACGAAGAAACAGCTCTCTTTTGCAACTATTTATCCAACAAGCGACTCGTAATCAGAATATACAAAGAACTCAAACAACTCAACTAAAAAAACCCAAATAATCCAATTAAAAAGTGGGCTAAGGATCTGAACAGACATTTCTCAAAAGAAGACATACAAATGGCTAACAGACATATGAAAAAATGCTCAATATCACTAAATACTGGAGAAATGCAAACCAAAACTACAATGAAATATCATTCCACCCAGTTAAGATGGCTGTTATCAAAAACACAAAAAATAATGGATGTAGTCAAAGATGCAGAAAAAGGGAACTCTTGTGCATAATTGGTGGGAATGTGAATTAGTAGAGCCATTATGGAAATCAACATGGAGGTTTCTCAAAAAACTTAAAATAGAACTAGCATATGACCCACAATCCCATTACTGAATATTTAGCCAAAGGAAAGGAAATCAGTATATTAAAGGGATTTCTGAATCCCCATATTCATTGCAGCACTATTCACAATAGACAGGATAATAGGATCAATCTAAGTATCCATCAACATTTTAATGAATAAAGCAAATGTGGTACATATGTACCCAATGGAATGCTATTTGGCCATAAAAAGGAATAAAATTACATCACTTGCAGCAATGTGGGTGGGACTTGAGGTCCTTATGTTAAATGAAATAAGCCAGACACAAAGAAAAATATCACATATTCTCACTCATCTGCGGGAGCTAAAAATTTTGGTCTCATAGAAGTGAAAAGTAGAATAATAGTTACTAGAGGCTGGGAAGCGGGTGGGGTGAAGAGAGATTGGTTAATGGAAACAAACATACAATTAGATAGAAGGACTAAGTCCTAGTGTTCAATAGCACAGTATGGTGACTATAGCTAACAATTTATATTTCAAAATAGCTAGAAGATTTGAAATATTCAACACTCAAAGAAGTGATAAATTTTTAAGATGATATATATCTCAATTACCCTGATTTGATCATACATTAAAATATCACTTATAATCCATAAATAGGTACAATTCTTATATATCAATAAAAAATTGAAAAAACCAGTAACCCCATGAGGTTTTCATATCTATTATAGCTTTATATTAATTGTGGAGTATGATAGACCACAAAAATTACAGAACTTCTTGTGTGGCAATATTCTAACCAATAGAAGCACAGAACCAATAAAATTGAAGGAATACCTCAGACTGCCTACTCTAAAAATTTATTAGACTTTGTGGATCTTTTTCTTTATATAAAAACAGGTCGATTTTTAAACTCTGGGACTTTACTTGATTTTGGATTTGCCCCAAGAAAAAAAGACTTGTATTGAAACTTTTAAAATAAATGAACCATATCACCAAGAAAGATAACTCAGATGCCACTGGATATAGTTCAGTGAAGCCACACATTTCTTGAAGTTGTGCCCTCACTGACATCAAATGATGTCAACTCTACAGATATTCTGACATTTCTTTAATATTTACCTTTTTGTATATAATTTAATGAAAGTAGATACCTCTATTTATATAGCCAACTCCTGTTGGCAAGTTCTTAAAATCAAAGAATTCCTACTTTGTGAATTTCTTTTAGAATCTGCAGAGTCAATGTCTTTAAAATGGTGAAGAATTTCTTTGCCAAACAAAGTTTCAGGCGGAATAAAAATCTTGGCACCCTGGGTTCAGATGGAGCATCTGTGATGCTTGGCAACACATCTGGTTCTGCTGCTTTGGTGAAGAAACATGCTTCTCATCTCAACATGCAGTGGTGTCAGCCGTGTCAACGACTCTGCCAGCGATCCTGAAAAAATCGTGTCTATTTCTATGAATGTTGTCAACCTCCCGAGAGCCAGGGCTGACACACTGCTATTTCGAGAGTTTTTGTCAAGAAAGGGGAATAGAAGAGGAAATTCACTGCTGCAATACAGAAGTTAACTAGCTTTCCAGAGGACTTGTCTTGAAACATTTGATTGACTCTTAAATGAAAGTTCTTTTTTTGAGGCAAAGAAAATCCAACTATCAGAATAACCCAAAAGGAAAGAGTCCATTCATAGTTTGCTTTACTTGATGGACATTCTTACCAAGTTAGCTATGTAAAACTTTTCATTTAAATTATTTTAGCCCAACTGCCACTTTGGAGGGAATGTTGGAGACAGATATCTACCTAAACATTCCAAGACTGGAGAGGTGCTTCTGCAAAGTGGAACAAGGTGTAACAAAGCTTGACAGGTAGAAACCCACCACCAGCCGGAATCACTAGAAAACTCTTTGAAAGCTAGTTCTGTTTCCAATGACTTTAACATAGAGGCATGAGTATGTAATTATTTTTTTAAAATATGATGAAGCATTAATGATGGAGAGTTTTCAAAAGATGATTGCAACACAATATGAATTCGACAAGGATTTTGGAGAACCCCAGGATTCCTCACCGTGCCTAATCATCACCTAATAAAGCCACAGCAGATCCCATTGTGTTACTGTTTTCTTTCGCCAAGTCAGTGTTTCCAGCACTTATTGACATGAAACTGAAAAGCCATAGTCAAATGGATATCAAAGATAACAAGCCCATTGCTGCCTCAAAACTACTCCATAATATCACAATCAAGCCAAACACCACCCTTCTTGTAGAAGCTTGCTTTGGAATTGAATGAAACATTATTTTTTACTTGTAAAATTTGTATTTATCTCAGGTGTTTGAGGAAACAGGCATTAAGTTCAAGAGAACAGTGGTGAGGGCAACAAAGATGACTTTATAAAGATACTTTATAGTCTCTGTAAAATAATTCAATTTCCATGGCAAAAAAAAAGCACATAAAAAAGTTTGTGTATTATGTGTGTGTGCATGTTTTGTGTCCTCTTCTGGGGAGAAAGTGTAAATCTTCAGATTCTCAGAGTCTGTGACTTAAATAAGACTAAAACTCCCTGTCCTTTGAAGGGTAAAACATTTTAAGGAATGGAATTAATGTTGAGAAGAAGTAAAATTCTTCAGCTGAAAAATGAAGAAAACCATGAATTTCTTCTCTATTCGCCAATTAATAATATAGACTTCTAAACCAGAAAGTATATGACTGCATTAAAAATGGGCAATAACCCACTCTCATTTTTGAACAAGCTTTTCCAAAATCAAAATTAAGAAATTTGGATAAAAATATTTGCTTTGTTAGATACTGTTTTCAGTTTTCATATTATATGAAAAATTGTGTAGCTGTATTTATATAGACCAGTGGGATGAAGTTAATAATGACAAATGAGGAACTCAGATCTAGTGCTTTAAAATACAGTATTGTTTGGAGAAGTATAGGAAATGCAGTTGGAAGTTACCTGTACTAGTTTCCTATTGCTGCTGTAACATGTTATTATAAACCTAGGTGCTTGGAAATCACAAATGTATTATCTTACCATTCCATAGGTCAGAAGTCTGAAATGAGTCTCACTGGGCTAAAAATGAAGGTGTAGGCAGGGCTGCATTTCTTGTTTGAGGCTCTAGGGGAGAATCCTTTTCCTTGCCCTTTCTAGCTTCTAGAGACATTTTCTTGGCTTGTGGCCCGCTTCCTCCATCTCCAAAGCCAGCAACAGCAGTCCCCACCCCCTACCAGTTAGTTTGTGTTTTACTGATACCGTGCACCCTGTACTTTCCCAGTGGGTACCAGCTGTTCATTCTTGGTTATTTCTTGGTCTTTAGGTCCTTCTCATACTTGATGAGCCTGTGGGGTTCAGGTACATGCTTTCTTGGGGTGCAGATATAAGGGCTTGTACTTCTTGCCCTTGTAGACCGCCCTGTGGTTCTCTTTCTGAGTCTGGTTAATGACAGTGAGAACAAGGGGGTTGGATTGTGGACCCTGTGCCACCTGTCACACTGTCAATGTGCAGCTGGGAGAGCTCTACCTTTAGGTAGTCCAGCTGTCTCAGAAGCTCTTCCTTCTTGCCATAAAGGTCCTGAGGCTTGATCTTGGCCATGGCTTCACATGCAGCTGCCAGCTGCCATCTGCTCTGATGGCCTCTCCACTTCTGATCACATTAGGCCCAATCAGACAAACCAGGACAATCTCCCTATTTTAAGGTCAGATGATTAGCACCCTTCATCCTATCTGCTACCTTAATTCCTCTTTGTCATGTAGCATGACATCTCCATAGGTTCCAGGGATTAAGTCATGGGCATTTTTGATATTATTCTGCCTACTACACACTCCCTCAGTTGAAACTGTAGGAAAGGATTGGATATGCAGGAAAATAGTGAAAAGTAGTAGAAACCTAGAAATAAACAGTCTCTAGCTGGGGTGAAAGGTATATTCCCTTATTGAACTACCCTAAAGACTTAAAGATCATGTCTGAGGTAACCTGCATCTGTACTTTGACAATACCCCTTCCCCCGGAAAACCTAGTCATAAGGAAGCGTAAGGATGCCAAATTTGGAATCAGAAAAGTTGAGTGGTAGGTCTGGCTCTTCCACTTGTCTATATCCTTTAGCAATTCACTTAAATTTGGCTGAACCACAGTCTCCTCACTTTAAATTAAGTGGGTTGAACTAGATTATTTCTTGGGTACCCTCCAGTTGTAATGTTGCTATGATTCTAGATGAAATAGATAGTATTTCTGCGGACTCAAAGTGAGTGGGCTATCAGTTCAATGGGTGTTTAAGCACCAATAGGTTCACAAAGGAGAAATGGATCCTTCCCTGATTTTTAATCTTATTATTTGCTCTTCTCCCAAGTAGGAGAAAACAAGAAGAAATAGCCCTTTCCTGTCCAAACATCCCTCACCCCAGATCAGAATAGATAATAAGCAAATGGGACATATTATACTGTGACTGTAAAATATACCTCAGTTTACACCCCTGGCATGAGATGTTCCTATAATCTTTGAAAGAATATGATTTGGGAGGCTGGTTTTCCTCATTTGTTTATTGTAGCATAGTTGGGTTATAGTATTGCAATAAATATATCCAAGGAACACAAGGACTGTTCCAATTTTGCTCTAGAGCATGGGTGGGTCTATGCGGTTTTGATAGGCAGAATTCTAAGATGGCTGCCAAGATTCGCGCCTTCCAATAGATATATCATGATAGTCTCCCTCCCCTTGAGTGTGGGAGTGGGTTTTGTAATATGATGGTGTATTAGTCTGTTCTCATGCTGTTAATAAAGACATACCCAAGACTGGGTAATTTATAAAGGAAAAAGGTTGAATTGACTCACAATTCCACATGGCTGGGGAGGACTCACAATCATGGTGGAAGGCAAGGAGGAATAAAGTCACATCTTACATGGTGGCAGGCAAGAGTGAGTGTGTGCAGGGGAACTCCCCTTTATAAAACTATCAGATCTCATGAGACTTATTCACTATCATGAGAACAGCACAGGAAAGATCCACTCCATGATTCAGTTACCTTCCACCGGGTCCCTCCCACAACACATGGGAAATATGGGAGCTACAATTCAAGATATTATTGTGTGCGGACACGGCCAAATCATATTAGATGAAATAGGCCGGGCGCGGTGGCTCACGCCTGTAATCCCAGCACTTTGGGAGGCCGAGGCGGGCGGATCACGAGGTCAGGAGATCGAGACCATCCCGGCTAAAATGGTGAAACCCCGTCTCTACTAAAAATACAAAAAATTAGCCGGGCGTAGTGGCGGGCGCCTGTAGTCCCAGCTACTTGGGAGGCTGAGGCAGGAGAATGGCGTGAACCCGGGAGGCGGAGCTTGCAGTGAGCCGAGATCCCGCCACTGCACTCCAGCCTGGGCGACAGAGCAAGACTCCGTCTCAAAAAAAAAAAAAAAAAAAAAAAAAAAAAAAAAAAAAAAAAAGAAATAGGTGGTCCCATGACTAGGTTGTGTTCTGTGGCACAATTGCCTTTAAGAAAAAGAGATTATCTTTGATGGGCCTGGCCTAATCAGGTGAGGCCTTAAAAGGAACTTGTCTCTTCCTGAAGAGATTTGAAGTATGGGAGAGACTCAACCCAACAGAGATTCTCCACTGATAGATTTAAAGATGGAGGAAGCCATGGAAAATGGCAACTAGTATCAGAAAGCCAGCAAGAAAACAAGGACCTCAGTCCTCCAACTATAAGGAACTGAATTCTATCAATACCCTGAATGAGTTTGGACATGGATTCTTCTCCAAAGCCTTCAGGTGAGAACTCAGCCTGACTGCTACCTTGAATGTGACACCCTGAGCAGAGAACCCAACTGAGCTGTGCTGGACTTCTGATCTACTGAACCGAGAGCTAAAAAGTGAGTGTTGTTTTGAGCCTCTACCATGTGTGGCAATTTGTTATGCAGCAATAGCAAACAAATAAATGAAAACAATGCTATTCCAGTTAAATGTGGCTTAGGAATTTTTAAAAAGAAGTATTTTCCTTGTGCCTCCTTTCTTCTTGCCTTTCTCCAAAGCCTTAATCTTTTTCCCCACGGTGCAGTTATTTCATTGAATATAACTAGAAAATGCCATTTTGTCAGATTAAAATCTTCTCTCATATCACATCACTTCTCATCCCCCTAACCCCTCATAGTTCGTTTGAGATGCCAGAGATGCCCAAATCTTGGATATATTATATACATGTTTTAGGGCTGGAGAATCAAACCAGAAAACACAGATTTCAAGAATTAAAGCAAAGAATCTGTTTACTTTGAACTAACTCTAGATATGTTTCATTTGTTACATCTAGTTCTCTTGAAACACAGTAACCTTGACATAATGGCTGAAGAAAAAGGAGAAGCAATGTAAGCATAAATGGCTGAATATTTTAATATCTTTTATCAATAAACATTACTAGAATGCCACGCATTTGAATCCATGCTTTTTCTGACAAAAACCTGCATTTTATCTTCTGCTTCCTGATATCGCAGCTGGATCTTATTACAAGGGTAGGATGCACCATGGGAAGCATGCCTAAACTTTTTAAACTACAAAAGGAAAGCTGATCTTCATTAATTAGATGTCTAGATTATGCAGACTGACCACTGTATTATTATCTATAACATGGTGAAAAACACCATTATATGGCTTGTTGATAGCTCCTCCTAGGTAATTTAGCTAAGCCTTATTTGCTAAGATATTCTATTAACCACAAAGGCAGGATTTGGTGTCAGGTCAAAAAATCAGATCAAACTGTGACTTTGTGGTTGATGGTTCAGAGAATGCTCTATAACAAAGGGAATTGAGAACTCAGTATGATGTCTTTCTAACATTTAATTCAGGAAAAATGTCATCTCCAGCACGGCTTAACATAGTGCTACTACATAATGCAGATAAGTGAAAATATTAACAAGTAAATGATTCATAACGAAGACTCACCACGTAAAACCTGTATTCTCTGCCTTTGTGAAAACCATGGAATTGGATTAAAAGAGAAGCCACCTAATTTTAGATTTAAACAAATGTGAACAATGGGTTTGAGAATGAAGGGTAAGTCTGTGGATCACAAACCCTCACCTGAATAATGATTAGCTCTTTGAATAAAAAACAACTAATATATATATCATATAAATATATTAATATATATTATAGAAATATATTTATATTATATATATATATATATTTAAAAAGCCATAATCTGGAAGAACTTCAAAATCTAGGAATCCAGGTAAATCATGATTTAGCTTTTACCAACTTTAACCAAAGTCTTCCCTGGTGCTACAGTCAGTACTAAAGAAAAGCTATTACAAAGCTATTATGTTAAGTAATTACAATTTTGTCTGCTTCAACTTCTTATACCTGTGTCTTTGTCATGTATATAATTATGCAGAGGGAAAACACCCTAAGCTCAAATGAAATAAAAGATTTCAGTTTATGCCCACACGGACCTTGTCAAGTAGCCAATGACTTGCCCTTTCATTGTGAGTGACTAATATCAATGCTGGCTCTAAAGAAAGACACTTTTCATAATCGCCCAACAATCTGCTAAGTGAAAACATATGGATAGGCTTAGGGAACGCCTGCCAGGGGTCTTGGCAGAATGGAAAACAGGTGCTCTCATTCTGTGCCACGTAATACCCCATTTACCCCCAAGTCCAAAGGTTATAGGACTAATAGCTGCCTTGTGGTAATCAGGGAAAGCCAAGACACTGGCCCCGGTGAAACATCTGGGACATATTTTACATACTTCCAACATATGCTTCAGGTTCAATTAAAGTGAGGCTTTGGCACATTTATTAATCTTTTTTACTTTTATCCTATAAGAGGACCCACTGACCTGACCTTACTATTATACCATATGAGAAAACAGAAATAATGAGAGCTAGAGGTCAGTACCTGCTCGTATGGCAAAGAACACATTTGTTTTCTCATGAAATTCCATTACCCATGACTGTGTACACAAACTTTAAATAAAGGAACCAACGAATTTTTTAAAGTAGGAAATTACCCTTCTTCCACTCAGACACACTGATAGCCAAGACGTAACATTTACCGCTGTGAAAGCCTGTCGAGATGGAAGATGGAACCTTGCAGGATCCTTTCTCATTTCCATTTCTTATAGGAAAAACTATATTTCAAGATGTCCACAAGATTCTTCCCTCTATTATTCAAGCACTTAAAAGCCTACTGTAAATTATTACATTTGAGATTTTATTCAGATATGATTTTTATGCTATCAATTGCATTATGAGTAAAAAAGAAAAACCTCCTTTTTTATCGCTCAAATAAAAGGGTTGGATTTATGAAAATCAGCTCACAGTCCTTTCACATGGAAAACACACTGCTTGTCGGCATCCTGTACAGAAGAATACAGTTGAATTCACACTGCAATTTAAGCACTCACTTTCAATCAACTTTGGTAACTAGATCTGAAAATGTGTTAGAAGCAGGGTGTCAATTTCAGACTACCAAACACTAGATTACAATAGATGTTACTCCAGAGATTTGGTGTTGTTTCCCCCGGGCATGTTCCACTTGACATCTATGTTTTGGTGAGCTGGTTAACCAGGTGTGCCTATTTCTCATATCTAACATCCTCTCCATTAAAAATGGCCATAAAACGGGGAGAGATTAGAAGTACAGAATATCAACAAACTGACTAAAAACATAGGTTGACTTCAAACAGGGACATTAAGTACTAGACTTCACTAAGGGTTTCCATTTATTAACATTTCTGGGGAAATGCCTGCTGCTGGGGTGGATCTTTATGGTGGCTTTAATAATAAAGCAGCAACAAGCAAGAGAAAACGGCCATAAATGGATGGCAGCTCAGTGTTTATCAGCAGAGAAATGATGATTCAGAGCTGGCATATTGAGTTAAAATACAAGCTCTCTACAGCTCTACAACTGACCTTAGCAATAAATCATATCATTTATTGCCAGAAGTGTATGCTCATGTTATTTAACATTAAAAACAAGCACATATGTGTTTTTGCAGGAAGGAGATTTTGTTAGTTTATGTTTGATGATGTTGCTAATGACTAAATGATGTACAGAAGAAAAATTTCACATAAAAGCTCTGTCGATTTAAAAATGTTTGAAATAGCGTTAGAAGGGAGAAAGTGTGCGTGTGTGTGTGTGTGTGTGTGTGTGTGTGTTTCTGTTTTCCTTCAAGCATTGATTAGGAAAAAAATCATGTGGAGAGTTAACTAATCACTGAATTTTTTGACATTTCTCGTGTATGCTTTCAACACACAAATTATTTTATCTTTGGAGACACAGCCTTTGGTGGCACACAAATTCTTACACTGGGATATAACTGTACATCTTTACTGGAATCAAAGGTCAAGGGCATAAATTAAAATATACTGTTTTCCTCCTTTCTTCAAAAAAAAAATTCACTGCTTTACTACAATATAAGTCAGATTCTGGTGAAGGTAAAAAAATCTGGTTTTACACGCCAAACAACGTGGAAATAACTAACGATTTTCTCTCCTCTGCCTCCCAATCTCACCCTAGGACTTTTTAGATTTTAGGTCTGGAAATGTCCAGAGATGATGATGTAACAGCATCACTATCCTCCTTGCCATAGAAAGCAGTAGTTCCAACCCCAGCCACTGCTGCAGTGGTGCAAGATCATTCTAATTCCTACCTCCAGTTGTCCCCCCTCCCTAGGGGACAACCAATCCAAGCAGTCCCAGAAACTGCTGTTATTTACTGTGGTCACCCTCCCCAAATCAACCAGCGATCAAATATAAGCCTCTCTGAATGGGCTTTCCTAATGGAGAAACCACGTGGCCATTCCAAACCTCGGCAAGGGCGGTGAGCACTGGGGTTATTTAAATGTCCTCTGGAGCACTCGGCACATTCATGTCCTTTTGCTGAGCAATTGTTTGAAAATTACAGATGACAATATCCATGTTCAACTCATGCAGGCTATTTTTCCACTCTCTCTTCCCCCAAAGCATGGCCCGATTTGTAATACTCAAAATAGGACAAATTTTTGCCCTTCAACAACAGTCATCACTGCTGTTATCTTCACGAGAGCTATCAAGTTCCAGACAAGCTGAATTATTTTTTTGTTTGTTCTTGGCAGAAAAATATTTGACCCAGCTCTGGACAAAAGCAAAGAGGATTTATAGCCTTCTCTCCCTCTTTGCAACACGCAGTGGCATTGTTAGGATGATAAACAGCACTGTCCAATTTTCTGGACTCAAACACTTCAACTCCTTTTTTAACTGTCTGTGAAAACAGTGTCATGTCTACATTTCCCCATCCCCAGGTACCCAAGTGCTGGGAAAGATAATTACCTTGTCATCTTTGTCATCTTCTTCTTCCTCGTCCTCTAGCATGTCCTCCACTACCTGCAGAGAGAAACAGAAGTCGTTTTTTGTGCTCTTAAAGGAGAGAATTTTGTTCTGTCATTTTGAACCTTTTGGAAATGAAAACTTTATTAACATTTGAAACAGGCACACTGAGAAGGGATATTTGATCTAGAGAGAGTGATTAGGAAAATGCTCTGCCTTTAATTGATGAAAACCAGGGAACCAAATCCCAGTTAGGAGAACCGGATTTATGTGAAATGTTTTGTGACAACCTAAAGAATTTGAAATATGCATAAGGTAAACCAATATTAATTTGGGGGATGCTTTAAATCAGGAAATTTCCCTTCTACCGATTCTGCTGTCTGTATTAATCAGGCACTTTAAATTGAGAACTAGATAACTAGGCATGAAACAGCTCTGCTATTTCTAATTTACTTTTCACCAAACTCTAAGATTAAAAAACCATGTCTGTTAATTGATTCATGCTGGTGGTCTATGGCATAAAACTAACAACATATTTTATGGCCCAAATTTTAATTCTTATGTATAAATGTCAAGTCTTGCCTCTCTCTTTTTGATTTTGTGGATTACCCAAAACTCTCATTTTAATTCTCTGTGATTTTATACAAGAATATCATGAGAATGCATAGTATAATAAAATGAAACTTAAAATAATATATAATTACATGTGTATAGTGTGTGTATAACCCACATGGTTGGATATGCATGTATGTATTTTTTAACGGCTATTTAGCCTACCTCAGCAGAATGGAACAGTCATTTTGGATTTACCAAATAACTTCCCTTTGCCTTGATCAACATATAACCATAGGCATTCAGAATGGGACTTCACTCCATTTCAGGCTTTTTAAAATTGTTTTCCACACTTCACAAACATACACATATGCATGCCACAGAAACCTACAGTTTAAAAAACTGTGGGAGAAGTGTTGTTATTCAAGTAAGACCCAACTTATTGTGTTTGACATTTGATATGGTTTTTAAATTCCTGTGTCTTTTTTTTTTTCCTGATCTTGTATCTCTGAATAGACTCAACAGAATCATGGTTATCAAATACTTTAAAACTTTTCTCCCAAAGCTCATATTAGAGGACAGAGACACCTAGCCCTCCTTTCCTGTTTTTGTTTTTTTTTTGATACAAACAGGAATATTCTATTGGTGTACACTTTAATAACCAAGACTGTATTATGAAAAGAGTTACATAAACTGAGATAACATATCAGAACTCCGTTATTCCTAATAATTTTTCTCAAATATTCTAAAAGCATTAACTGATTTAAAAGCATAACCCAAACACAAACCTCCAGGTCTCATGAACGAATATATAATGAAAGCATCTGACAACCTGTGAGACTGTCTTAATTTAATGTCATGCTTTAAATCTTCTGTTAAATGGTAGAATTTTGAGGTCTTTCATTTGGACATTCAGCTTTCAAAAGAATCACAGTGGTGCAATATGCAGTTTTGCATATCTGATGAGAGCTTACACTTACTTCGGAGACATATAAAGCAATGAAGCTTCAACAAGAAAGATGGACTCTTGACAGTCTCTCTAACTATATTCAGCTACTCCATAGCATTTATTATAAACCCCTTTGTCCAAGGCACATAGTGCTAGGTAATGTGGGAATACACAGATAACCCACAAATACTTCCTTCTTTACTCCTATCAGCCCTCAAATGGCTTATAATCCAGTAAAATTTAAACAGGGTTGATCAGATAAGCTTTCATGTTAACCTTTCATTTCCTCACATTTAAAGTATTCACATCACAAATACAAAGACAATAGTGACAATATATAGTTGAAGTGATATATGCCAGGCTATTCCAAATTGGGCTATTTGTGAGGGAGGTTTAAGATGGAAAAGAAGCTGCATTGGTACATTTTGTTGCATCAGAAGAATTCACCTAACACTTGTAAGATTTTCTGAAATGATGATTATTTTGTAGCTGTAATAAAATTATCTTTTAGATTTAAATGAAGTATTTTTTTTTTTTTTGCTGAAATTACCCATGCAGATTCTTATCAAATACATCAAGGAAAATGAGATGAATACTATACTTTTACTCCTGTGAATAAAGTCATTATTGTAGCTACTTATAATTAAGAATGTATAATATGCCTCCTCTCTGCAGTACTTACTATCATATTTCAGGTGCTATGAAGGCAGGATGGTGGTGGGCTGTGCTTAGCAGATTGTCAGGTACATAATAGGTGTTCAAGAAATATTTGTTGATTGAGTGAACAGGTGAATGCATCATCTACCCTTCATATCATTTAACACACTTGTGGGTAAAGTGTCTATCATGTATCTCACAGAACTGACTTAGTTCACCTGGAAGGACTTATACCTAATCAATGATGCAGATTTATAAAAGCAAATATTCAAAATGCTTTCAAACATTTGCCTGGGAATAGAACCCATGAATATTTAACCATTAAGGTTGGAGAATCTCCACTATCTTCAAATTAATTTTCAAAAATTCAAAATAAGATTAAGCCATAAACAAGCCAGTAGCTTAATTTACACATTTTACAGATCAGCTGTGGATCTTATGTTCAAGTATGACTCAAAGAGGTCTACAGAATCAGGCTCTTCATTTGCAAAACCCAAACTGTTCTTACCCTGCACAAGTGGGTAATTGGCTACGCACAATTGCTCCACAAATGTGCAGCCAGAACCACCCAATACAACCATTTGCTTTTACATTTGGCAGAAAAGTGTTGTGTTAGTGAGAGGCCTTTTTGCTGTGTTTTAGCGCTCTAGTGAGGGCCTTTCCCCTCCTCCAGTGCCTTTTTAAAGTTACATCATAAACATCTACAAGTGAGGATTTATAATATAGATGGTTTCCTATCGATGCCTTTAAGCTGCTTCCGAACATACCCCACTATTACATTTTGCTCAGGTGAAGCTGAAGGTGCCTTAGAAAATGGAGATGATAATAGCACCTATCTCACAGTGTTGAGGATCCAATGAGATAATGCATAAGAGCGCTTAATACAGTTCCTGTGTCAAAGGAAGTACTCAAAAATGTTAGCTATTAATAAAAATAAAATAACATCAAGTTACTATTTTAAACATTCATTTTTGGAAATTAAATAATATATTTTTTCCTGGACAAAATATTCTGTGCTCTTAATGACACACAAAATTCTGATTCATGTTTTCACTGACCATAAGAAACACATAGAGGGGTACAGGTAGAAGTGTGGATAAAGATTCCAAATTAAAATGATGATGCTTTCACAACTAATTTTCAGGCTTTAATGGTCCAGTGAAATGGATGGCTTTGAGGACAAGAGTGTCTCAGAAGCTGAGCTGTGCTTTAAGACATGAGCTCTAGCCAAATGCAATGAACATCGAAACTGCAAACTGAGCTTTTAAAAACAAACTGTATATATTACTGAAGTGCATTTAATGACTGCACAAAATTGCAACCCTTCCCAGAGAAATCAAATACCACCGCTATTTAGGATGAGAGTGCTGGAGTTTAACACTTAACTAAGGAAAACAAAAGAAGGGAGTCCTGGTATCAAATTCTAGCTCTTTCCTCTTCAAATAAAACCAAATAAGCACTACATCGTTTTGTTTTCAAGTATACAAAGTCCAGTTGCCCAAACACTTGTGGGCAATAATTTAATGAACAACATACACTATACATAGGATTTCCTTGAAGGGGAAAAAATGAAGAGTGACGAAAAATCATGTAGTAGAAAAGATACATTTACGAAGTTCGGTTTTTTCTCTTTTTTCTTAAGGGGGAATATCACAGATCGGCTCTAGAATTCTCTTTCCAAATTATGCTTTCTGATACCTCGCTTGAAAGCAAGTAGTATTAATCAAACAAAGGAAGGGCACTAGGGAAATCAGAAAGATGTAATGCAAGCAGTTAAAAGTGACATGACCTTCTGTAATGTCGCTCGTCACAGACTTATGTGCCACACAGTCGAGGAAGGTCTTGAAAGAAACTGATTCTTGGTACTATTCCTTGAATGTAATACTAATAAAGATGACATTTAAAAAAACACACATAGACAGCCCCAAATGCAGCATGCCAGCTACATTGCAGCCAGAGAGTAAGTAGACAACATTATTTTAAAAAGCATATTTCTTCCTCTATATTCAATATTTGCTGAACATTTGTCATTAACATAAAATATAATATGTGGCCATACATTTAAAAAATACATTTCCAAAATTAAACAAAATTGTATCTATAGACCATATATTTTATGTGGTTTTAGAGGAGCTCTCGTACTGTTACAAGACTTCTAATTGTAATCCAACACAACAAAACACATCTTGATTTGCAAGGAAAATGTTATTTGACTGGAAATGTTAATAGTGATGTCAATAATCTGAATAAAAACATGACATGTTTGGTATTATTCTCCCGGAACAAAAATGTATAAGAGAGGTGACCAGAAGGATGCAGTAACAAGAAAACCAATGATGAAAGGATGAGGAAAAGTGGGTTCAGGTAGACTTCATTATTAAAATCATTATGGGATAGTGGATACTAATTATTGCTTTTTAACACCAATTTAAGGTATATGTTTAATATGACAAGAGGGGGTTAAAAGGCCCATGAATTATTTTTAAAACACTTCATATTATAATTTTTCCATGAGTAAATTCTTCCACTTATTTAAATCCCTTCAAACAAAAAGGAACCAAAAAAGATCTTGGTTATGTTAACCTTGGAAGGATTGAGTACTCTGCAACCAAACCTTTCAAAAGCCAGTGCTGATACAAACCAGTTTCTTTCGTGTGTTTACTTCTTTTCCTTGGAATTAAATGGATGTTTTGCTATGTTCAAAATGAATAGTTGCACAACTCAAATTGCTTTACTCAAATATGGTCTATAAAAATGCAACACGTTTACACATTTAAAGAAGAAATCACTGCTGTCCAGATGTGCAACCATGTTAAAATATTAAAGAAAACTGACACAAAAGAAAGAAGTTTCATATTTAGTTTCATATTCATAGATCATCCAAACTTGTACAGATGCTTATATTTGGATACGTTGCAAACTAAATGCCTATTTCTACCCTAGAGATACGGAAGAATTTGGGGAGGGTAGTATTCTTCAACACAGTCTGGAGTTCATTTATATCACTGTGTTTGTGCATAAACCAAGCAGAACATGCATTTATGTGCCAATTGGTTTATTATACGTGTAAGTATGATATGAAATGATGGAATGTCTATTGATGGAGAAGACGCATATAATCACTCAAATGATTTCAAATCACTTGAAAGTACCAAAGGTCAGGCTAAAGACTTTTGTGGTAAGATCTTTATAGGTGTGCTAGTGCAGACATTTTTACGACAGGACACCTACTTCTCACAAGATTTTTGAGAAGAAACTTTTGCAAACTGGTATAATTAATTGTATACATAATTCACTCCACGTTTGTAAGAATAATAAGATTCAATCAAGTCTGGGATATACTGTTTCATCCAGTACATCTCGAAAGCAACTGCATATATGATGGCTGCTTAGTTTGATTCACGCTATTAAGGATTTGACCTTGGAGTATTTCAGCTACAGTAGTCATCAAGATAACTGAACCACTAGATGTAATAATAATTAGTGTGATAGGCTTGCCAGGGAGGCTGAATATATTGCAGTACAAAAGAAGGCAGAATAAAAAAAAAAGCATTAGTACTTACTGCTAAAAGACTTCCTGATTTTTACAGAGACACTCAAATACAATTATTCTTCTCACAAAATGCATTTCCTTGGCTCATTCTGGGAAGTGCCACGTTGTAATTTAGTCTGATTCTTAATAAGGAATGTGGCTTTAATGTGGCTATCAGATGACTTTTGATGCATGCCACTGATTACGTACAGCATGGCTTCTGCATCATCAACAGCAGTATTTGCTGTATAATCTGGTTTGCCATAAGGTGCAAAGACAGTAAATTTACTTTACTGACCAAAAAGTATGTTACCTTTTATTTTCTTAAGTGTCAGCTTAATATGCAGAAAAACTCTTCCATTAAGAAAGGCGAAACAATAACAAATTCTATAATCAGTATAAGCCTCTTAAATTTCTTTTCATATTTCCTTTTCGGTATTCTTAAGTGTTCATTCTTATTCTCACACAAAGCACTATGAACAGAATTCTAGAGTTTATTTGAACTCTGTCTCCATCTAAAGGCTTTACAATGTATTGGGTTTTTCACTTGCAGGAAAATTCTAATCTTGGTGTCTTTAGGATATTGCATATTAATTCAATTGAGTAGGAAAAAATAGGTCAACTATTAACCTGGAATGTGCTTTTTAAATAATAATGCTTTTATGAAACTATATTATTTGTCAAGGGAAAAAAGTATACACCAAAGGCCAAAAAATTGAGTTGTTTAATGTGCTTTGCAAGTAAAATTAAAAGCTAACTCTACTCACCACGAATCTACTTTATAAAATTTAATGTTTTCAAAATATTTTATACATTAATAACAGAGTACAAATAAAAAAGAAAATTATGTACTTATGCCTCTATATTTAGAACCAATTTTTCCATTCCAGAACCTCAACTTTGTAACAAAAAGGCATAATTTTAAATGTTTCAAACTCTGAAAATCTTAGAAATTGTTTTTAAGTGTCTAATAAAAGGTACACATTATTTAAAAAAATTTCTGTAAAGCAAGAAAAGGGAGCTGCTGTGACATTTTAAAGAGTAGCATGTCCTGCAATCTTCCAAATATCCTTTGCTCCAACCCCATCAATAATTTTGGGAGCTGCAATAGGCAAGTTATTTTTCAGGTAAATGCACAGTTTAGCACAAGTATGCAAAATACTATGGAAATATTGGAATATATTTCCATATATGATTCCATATATGGAATAGTACTGAAAATACTACACTTTGGGAACATTAGGGATCTTTAAAGAATATACTTTGAAAACAACAACAACAAAAAATTTATCTTGGAGATTAATGCCAGCAGACTTTTGGACCATATTGATCTGTTAGGTTTGATTCACTTAAATTTACAGCAGCTCCCTATTTTAAGCAATCTGTTTTGGGTCATAAAGAGGGTGAGTGGAACGGGTGTACATTTGCAAAGAATATTCTGACACTAATTTGAGTTTTCTTTTTCTTTTCTTTTCCATCTAGAACATTTTGAGGCCTGAGGACATTATGTCAGAGAATTTAACTTTAAAAATGGAGCATGTTTTGTGTGTCAAAAAATCATAAAGTCAGAAAACTTCAGTTCTTTTCTTATATCCTTTTCTATAAATAATGATATTTTTTATCTTTTTTATATAAAGAATAATCACCTCACAAAAGAAAGTCCTAGTGGGTTTAGACCTACATTTGGACTGAAAAGAATGTCTGTGGTGAATGGTGAATTGTAGCATAAAAGCCTGAATGAAAAGAATGTTCACGAAACTTCACACAAAACCTCCAAACCGTTATATCATGAGCTTCCCACAATATAACACAGAACTCTATATCCCAGGAAAAGCCTGCCTGGTCTACTTATCATTTCTGCTTTATGTAGTGTACTGTGTGATTGCTAAATTAGTGTATAATGCATTTATAATATTTATAGTACCAACATTTAGTTAAATAACCTTTAGGTAAGATTTATGTTGATTTTTTTTTATTTCTCATTTAATGGCAAATTATGAAGAGCAGGTTTCATAAAGATAATTCTCCATTTAAATTCATCAGTCCATTAAATATTAAAATTATGTTTCTGATGCAATCGAGAACAAATTTGTCCAGCTTCAGTGATTATTTGCACTCATAAAAATTAGGCTTGATTAATAAAATTTAAATGCTTGATTAAGTTGACATTTTCATGTTCCATTCTGATTTATTAGAATTAGTCTCCATCTCCAGGCCTGGTATGCTGGTGTAGGTTTACCTTTCTCCTCCTCTTACCCGACATCCTGAGCGAGATGTTAGAAAGAAGAATTTTGCTTTTGGACTCAATGATGATTTCAGTGAAACGCCCTGTTCTTTGCTCATGGTACTGCCTGTCTTTGTCTTCATGCACGGTGCACAGTGGAGATTTGTATTACAATAATCAAGAAAAATGTTTCTTTTAAATATCTATGGATATGACCTGTAAAATGGCATATGCTTATGGTATTTCTGTAAAATTCAGTTACTAAGGTGCTTTAAATTGTTGAAGATTGCTTTGCTCAAATTTCTTTATATGCTTTTATTGATAAAAATACAGTTTTTATTTTTGTGGGACTTCCGTATACATTGCAAGGGGACTATGGATACAGGAAATCTTACTGTGGCAATGCTATTATCTTTGCCTACAGGCTTAAAACCAAGAAAAATGACTCACGGCCATGAAAAACCATTCTCTTCCACAGGACTTACAAGGGAACTCTTCAAGAGAGATAGTGACATATAATGTCTAAGCCCCCACTTGCTTGCTGTTTTACACATGGCAAAGTTCCCAGGTGTCATCTATTAAGCACTTACTGTTTTTTTTTGTTTTTTTTTTTTGAGACGGCGTCTCCCTCTGTCGCCCAGGCTGGAGTGCAGTGGCGCGATCTCGGCTCACTGCAAGCTCCGCCTCCTGGGTTCACGCCATTCTCCTGCCTCAGCCTTCCGAGTAGCTGGGACTGCAGGTGCCCGCCATCGCGCCCGGCTAATTTTTTTGTATTTTAATAGAGACGGGGTTTCACTGGGTTAGCCAGGCACTTACTCTATGCTTAACATGTTATGTTAATTGTCTCTTAAATTCTTAGAAGACTCCAACAAGGTACCTATTGTCCCCATTTTATTGGTGAGGAAATTGAAGCATAGCAGAATGAATAACCTTGTATAGCTAACAAGTAGAAGGTTTGGAATTTAATCCCAGATCTTCCGAATTTCAAAGCTTGGGCTTTTAACCTCAAGCCACTGGAAAGATACAGCGGTAACTCTTATCTTAAAGGTGTTTTTGCTGTTGCCTATGGGAGTATAACCCATTTGAAAACTTTATTTAGGTAAACTGACTTTCTCTTGTTTAAGCAACGCTACCAGAACATTCAGTTAGTTTTTAAAGAACTGATAGAGTATACTAGTTTCTTTTTGTTGTATAATGAAGTAAATTCAGTAAGTAACAAATGACAAAAAATGTCCTTGAAGGTATATTTTAGTTTGGTCACTAAAACATACTGTTTCAGTTCTATGTACACAAGGGTAGAAACACCTTAAAGTTGTATGCTCTTGACAAAGGTATCTCATACAACGCTTTAAAAAATGAACACAAAACTCTCAGCGTTATTGGACTCCTAATACTTCTGATTTATAAACACTTTCCACAAGCAGATAAAGACATATCATTTGTTTTCCACTTTTAGCTTGTTAATTGGGGTCTTATAATTTCTTGTCACCTTTCTGAACCAAGGACAATAATTCTCCACAAATATATGAAACTCTCTGCTACCATCACCCTTCCCCCACCACCACCAAACAGAGAACAATGATCAAGACTAGAAATGCAAACTAGTTCTAAGGTCATGAGTCAGGCCGAAGGTGCTTCTGTTGGCCCCTTTTTCTCCCTCCCTCCCTCCCCATGTTTAGAATAGTTTGGCTCTCTGCCAAGAGGAGAGTGCAAAGTCATTTAGAAAGAACAATCAGGAAATCGGTAGGATAACACATCCACCCTCAAACCAGAATTGTGGGTATCCTTTTTTCCTCCCCAGTCTTACATCTCAATTACGGAAATGGTGAAGTCCTGGGGGCAGATATTTGGAAGAACAGAAATGATAAGACCCTTTGGCAGACATATGGGTGGACGCTTTGGAGAACCATCAAGATGGTGAATTCTTTGGATCCATGGAAGGATTTGAGGGGTTTAGGAAGCTGGTTTTTCAGTGACTCTCTGGGGCTCCAGGGTTCAACTGCAGCTCAAATAAGTGAAAATCAACCACTTATGGGAGCACTAATTTCAGATTTCCTTCACAGCTGCCAAAAACAATTCATTTGATAGAAAAGGAGTTGGGGAAGAAATCCTCTATAAGAACTAAGAGTACCTCTTTGCCTCATCATATTCTTATATGCATCTCTGGAGAACTGAGCAAGGTGGGAAGAATTCAGGAAGATGGTGGAGGCTAAAATATGAGAGTAACTGGAAACAACCTCTAGGGCAACTACCACTAACTTTAAACTGGAAGTCTCTCTTCTGAGTCCTAATAGATCTAAAGCAAGAAGTGTGCATTCCAGTGAGGAGAATCTTTAGTAAATTGACTTTTAAAAATAGAAGTGTTTCCTTTACATCTTTCTCTATTTGAACTGACATGTCACGTACTGGTAATACTCATCTTCCACCATTCTACCATTTTATCTTTTCAATTTTAGGTTGGACTGCAGTTTGAGAATTGAGTAAAAGGATAGCCAATAAACTCAAAAAGTATTAAAACCAAACATGGAGTTACTAAGTGAAAGCAACAGACTGAGGCGTGAAGAACAAACAGTGGCCACAGGTAGATATTTAATCCCGTTTCATTATATATGCAGTACTCACACACATATATCTGGGACTATCTAAATGTCTTTTGACTAAACATTCTGCATGCTGTATACAGACCTCTTATCACTGCACCTATTATATTCATGTATTCTATCAGTTGTTTGTTTCTCTCACTAGACCACAAACTGTCCTGGGCAAGGCGTGTGTCTTCATCATCTTTGAACCACAGTTTGTACTGTTAGTGCCTATAAATATTCAATAATATTTGTTGAATGAAAGTAATTTTGCATAAAAATTAGATAATTTTTATTTGGAAGGAAAGATCAGACTAAAATATTTTCATTCAAACATTTTTTGAGTAACTCAGAGCAAAATGGTCCGAGCCATTTTGCTGTGTTGAGATTAGACACACAAATGGAAGATTCAATTAGAACAATCTGAGGAGGACCCACAGTGAGCCAGTTATGATAATATACTGAGAGTGTTGTGATTTTTATTGTTATGATTTCTTTCTAATTTGGTCGTGAGGTCTGTCTCTTGAGAGTGACCATGAGCCACGATAGCCACTTTCTAGGAGTGCTCTGATGAGAGGAAAGTAAGACTCAGGTGTGTCAGTCAGACGAGACACATTAAGGAGGTGAACCCAAAGTGCATAAAACAAGAAATTTAGTACTTACTGGTCCCAGAGAGGTTAGGGATGCCAATGGGAGGCCCAGGGAAGGCTGGAGGCCACAGGGAGCTCAACCAGTGGGTGCGGCACGCAAGAGAAAAAGAGGACCCACCAGACTATGCCTTTATTAAGGTCCATGGATGTTATCCCGTGGCTGGTTTAAAGAGAGCACGAGGGGAAATGCTGACTTGGCTCCAGTGCTAACCATTAGGGTTCATCATGGTCAGCAGCTGTGGGGTGTGTTGGGTTAATAGGATGAGAAGCAAGTGGGCTGCAGCATAAACAACCACACAGAGAGGGTAAGCTTTAACTAGCCAAAGGGGACGGGTACTGCTAGGTTTCAAATAACTCATGTCGGGCCTTAAAATGGATGCCTAAGCAGCAACTATATGAAACAAATTTATGACAGACGTGGGAACTCAGAGGTGTGGGCTCACTTAACCTCTTAAGAGTATGAGTTGGTAGGGTCAGACTGGTAGTAGGGGGTGAGTGTCAGGGATGGTGCTCCAGAAGAAATAATAATGATAATTAGTGGTTACCCAGGCACAGCTGTATAAAATGTTAAAGGCTTAATGGGTGGCAAATTAATATTAACTACCAAAAACCTTCAAAATGCATATACTCTCACCCAGAAATTCTTCAAGGACTTTCCAAAGCATATTACCAGAAAGGGACCCAAAAATTTCTTTAGGATTTTCTTTATAGTATTGAGAAGGCAAAATATTTCAAGCGGGCCAGGCGCGGTGCCTCGCGCCTGTAATCCCAGCACTTTGGGAGGCCGAGGCAGGCAGATCACTTGGGGTCAGGAGTTCCAGACCAGCCTAGCCAATACGGCGAAATCCCGTCTCTACTACAAAAAAAAAAAAAAAAAAAAAGAAAAAAATACAAAAATTAGCCGGGTGCAGTGGCAGGTGCCTGTAATCCCAGCTACTAGAAGGCTGAGGCAGGAGAATCACTTGAACCTGGGAGGTGGGAGTTGCAGTGAGCCGAGATCACACCACTGCACTCCAGCCTGGGTGACAGAGTGAGACTCTGTTTCAAAAAAAAAAAATTGAAGGAAACATTTCTAAAAACAGTGTTTAATTAAGAAGACTGGTGCAGTGGCTCGCACCTGTTGTCCCAGCTAGGCAGGAGGCTGAGGTGAGAAAACTGATTGAGTCTAGGAGTTCGAGGCTGCAGTGAGCTATGATGGCACCACTGCACTCCAGCCTGGGTGACAGAGGGAGACCCTGTTTCTAAAATACACACACACACACACACTCATATAGTGAAAATTGTATAGAAATTAAAACTCGTGGTGGGCTGTTTTCCAGGAATATGAAGGATATTTCCAGATATGTTGCAGAATAAAAAAAGTAGGTGAGCTAAAATGCGTTAAAGGTGATTCAATTTTTATAAAAAACAAAATATGTGTGATAAGAAATATACATTTACATTTGTAAGTATATTTTAAAGAAAACAGTAGAAGGCATAGAAAGAGTATATAGAATATTTGGGAAACTACAAGTATACTCTGCTCCAGATACTCCTGTGACCACTGGGGCTACCCCACCCTGGTCCTCCTCTCCAGACCCACTATCTTTGAAGGTCTTCTTTTCCCAGGGTGAAAGGCCCCTCTTCCAGCACCTTTCTCAGGTGGGTCATAGCCCTCATGGCTGGACAGCCACTTCCTCATCGACGCCAACCGGCTTGCCTACAAGTCTGCTGTGCCAGTGGAGGAGCCCCGAAGACCATCCCAGGATGATGCACCCCATAAGAGTACAGCCTTGCAGGGGCTACAGCCACCCACAGTGCACCTGTGTCTTTGCCAGCCCCCTGCAGCTGCATAGACACCATGCATCACACTCAGACCTCAAACTCTTCATGTGCGGCACCTTGGGCAAGGATTTCAAGCTCTTCCACCACGCTGCACATCTGTCCTCAGTGCTCACGTGACTTCCAGGCCTCTGCCAAGTTCCAGACCCTGCCTGCACTGCCCTTCTCCAGGCCACCACATCTATCCCATGCTGTGCCATTCCCACACACGCTCTGTGAGTACTGGCTTTGCGGATATTACTGCCTTATTCTGGGCCTGAGTTTCTCCATCTGTCCAAAGGCAGAAGCATCACTCCTTTTTCCTCTTTTCCAGTTGTGTCATGAAGACAAAAGGGGTTGCCTTCCCTGAGCCTGTGGACTGGGTGAATAGGAGTTAAAGCAGGGAACACAGGCCTGTGAGCCAGCTGTGCTTCCCATCCAGCTGTGCTGTGCTAGCTTTTGCAAGTGGCTTGGTTTCCTGCTCTCCCAAGTGGCGAGCAATTGCTGTCCAGAAGAAAGTGATAACAAAAGAGTATGGCCATGGTCTGGTTCATTTCTGTTTCCTCACCCTTAGCCCACTACTCCCACCTTTTGCTCAATAAACACTGCATACTCCAAAACAAACAAAAGCAAAACAACAACAACAACAACATACACATAAACAATCCTGTTGGAATATTGGAGGGATGAAGCTGAAACTATGGTTTAAGTGGGGCCTGCTCCTTATGGGTCTTCTATGCTTGAAGATGTTGGGGAATACCTTTATTTCAGAACTGTCACCTTCCTACAGGTCTGGAGGTAAGAATAAAGGTACAACTGGGATAGAGTTACCAGATGAATATAGAACATCCACTTAAACTGGAATTTCAGACAAATTAAGAATATTATAAAAACATATAAGTGTAAGTATGTCCTGTTGTTATCTGAAATTTCCATTGAATTGGGCATCTGTGTTTTCATTTGCTCAATCTGGCAACCCTAACTTGGGTAATTCATAGGGCTCAGGGCTGGAATTTGAGGGAAATTTGCAAAGTGGAAGGCCTGGTCATCTACTGAGAGGGAGGGGACAGTGGTGGGGGGACTTGGGATGAGTGAAGAAAATGTAGAAATCTTGTTGGTGCAAATCCAAAGCCTGATGACGATGGTTATTAACATGTTGGGATGCACTATGTACAGCAAGTGATTATCTAACAAGGCTAAACAGTTGGTGAACAGCTTTGAGAGGGGTCACAAGGGATAAGCTTTCTACCAACATCTGATTGGCTGTTGATTCTACTTATTTATCCTAGTGATCGTGTTGGAAAACTAAAGGTCTGGTTCTTTTCATGGTCCTCCTCAGATTTTTTCAAGCTGATGACCTTTTGAAAAAAACTGAGAAAACTGCTGTTGAAATAAGCACGAAGAAGAAAAGAGTGATCATCCATTTTTAGATGTGTTTACAGGCTGTATGACTCAGTGTTGCTTCTGCTAAGAGCACTGAATATGTGGTCTTTTTTGGTACTGAGATGCAAACACAGGAAACTTGTGGTCTATGCTGCTTTCAGTGAATGATAAAACTCTTACTGAAGTAGAGAGAGTCTAACTGTATGTTCAGAGTGCTTTGCATATGACGTCCTCTCCTCTGTCAGCTTGGCTTTGGCCAGCCTCTTTAGATCCTGTTAGGAATACTTGACTTATTCAGTATTCCACATATTCCACCACAGACTTCTTTGGAATGGAGAACACTGGCTGACAAAATAATAAATGTGCTTGATTTATAGGAGTTCAAGTCAATCAGATGTTTCTTTGGTGGACCATCCCAAACTGTTCAATCAACAGCACTTATGGCACAGAGTGCTGCTCTTAGGAGCTTTATTTGTAGAGATAAGTGCTCTGGTTCTCACTGGAACAGACCTAATGGGAGACAATATTCAGTACTATTCTAAAAGGGAAATGAAGAAACAAATGCTTTGTCATGAGAAGGAGCTAACTAAACACTTCAGTATTTCCTAAAGTATTTTAGCAAGGCAGACTCTGTCTCAATTTGTGTCACAGTCATATCATGAGTCAGAGAATGATTTCATTGATCTGCCCCACTCTTCAGTCTTTTAATGCCACCATTGATTAGATAACTGAGATTGTTGTGTGGGAGGAATATCATGACAGTAAAAATGAATGTTCTTTTAAAGTGTACTTAAAAAACATTGAAGAATTTTTTTGTGTCAAAGAAATTTTTGAATTTATTCACAAAAAAATTATTCACGAATATGAAGAAGTCAGCTTTGATGGACTCTTCCCATGCTCACCTTGGTGAATGGAAGGTAGCCCTCCTGGTCACGAATGCTTCTGAAATTAACAGGGGCACCTGGGATAGAACAGATGACCAGCACCAATTCATGCAAGGTTACTGGTTACCTTACAGGAAGGAATTTGGAGACACCCAGGATTCTATGCAAGGCCCTGGACACTAAGAAAGCAGTCCTTTGGGAAAGGAATGCCCATGCATGTAGCATAGATACAGCCTGGGACTTTACAACAGGGCACAATTGGGTTCACATCACACTTGCTCTGGGGAGTTGCTTACTTATCCTCCTTGATACTGAATTTTCTTACTTGTAAAATGGGGAAAAAACTATTTAGAATTATTTACTTTATATAATTATTGTAAAGAATAAAAGGAGGTGATGTCTCTAAAAGGCTTAGCAGGATGCCTGATACATAGAAATTGCTTGATAAATATCATTTTTGTTTCCCTGAATGAGAGATATAGAAGACATGGGGTGAGTGGTGTGGGAAAATTAATACTTTCTATTAATGTGTCAGCTTGAAGGTAGAGTTAGTGCTACTGGCTTTTCTGTAATTCGTGGGAGAAACTTGCTGTAACAGTGCCCAGGGAGAGGTGGGATATATCCCCAAGAGGAAATGTGATTGACTGGTGGTTCGGAGTATAAACTTCAGACAGACTGCTCTGTGTTCTAATACTGGCTCTGACACTTTCTGTGTGTTTTTGGGTAAGTTATTTAATCTTTCTGGCCCTGTTTCCCTCTATGTGCAGTAGAAATGATACTTACAGGGTGTGCAATAGACCCCTGGTTTGCTTGGCTAACCTATTTCCTTCATTCTCTGAGACTTGATTCTCTTTTCTCAAGGAAGAGCTCTTGCAGCCATGCTTGTCTACATGAGCATATTCCTTTGCTTACAACTGATGAAGGGACCTGGGCGGGGGTGGGGTGGGGATGGCGGCAGGTCACTCGACTTAGGAGGATCCAACCCATTGACTGGGCTAACACAATCAGTTTCTCTCTCTTGGAGGAGGACTAAATGACATGGTGAATATAAAGTACTTCACACAGAGCCCACGGTGTAATGATGGTTCAGTAGTTTTTAAATCAAAGTAAAAGCCATTTCCTGGCATCTACTCTTCCACTTTCAAAATGTCTCTCTACAGTAACTGTAATTTGGATAGTTGGTACAAGCCTAATAGGCAATGCCGGTGAGAATTTTTCCCAGGTTTTGAAGTGACAGCTCAAACCAACAGAAGGATGACATTCCTATCTTTATATCCCTTTCACGCCAGGGACATTTCTGAATGAAGCATGTCTTAAATGGTTTTCTCTGGAAAAGCCTAACAACTCTAATGCTAGAAATTTTAATGTCATGGTCCCAGTCTAGGTATATTCAGACCTAAGATTGCTTATTTTTAACAAGTCCAACTAGGAAACAGCAGAGGTGAAATACCATTTTTAACCACGCCTCTTTCGCATGGGCACCCTCTGAGTCTACAGTTTTAACCTCAGGAATGGCTCTTTACTTATTCTGTCCTTAACAGGTTCAGCTCATTAAATGCTGCAAAACTTATTCAGCAAGGATTACATCTGATTTTGCTCATTAAACTAGAATAGGCACCATGGTGGGGAAAAAGGTATAGGGGTTCAATGCCTGTAATCTTAAAGGTCTCCAAGAAAGGAAAGACTCCTTAAACAATAAACACACAAAGAAACACTTTCCTGTTTGGTATTAATCTCAACTATTAGCCAATACATTGAAGACAGAATTTTACCCATCTATGCATTTTTCATCTTTCACAGTGTTTCTTTTCTTTTCTTCTTCAACTTCGTATGTCACGGAAATTTTGTTTCCTTTTCTTTCTTTGCTATACAGACCTGAAGGTCATTTTGATTTTTCGTTTATAGTTTTCACCCTAATTAAATTTTTGGCAGCTGAATGTACAGATTTTTGTTTTGTTTTGGTTTGATTTTTGGTGGCAGAAAATTCTTTCTCTTTCTCTGTCTCTCTTTCCTAAAACAGAAAGTTTCCTGGTTTGGAATCAGCCAATGGTGTGATTAATGCACCTCGGAGATCCTGTAAAGTTTTCACACATGCTGAAAGATTCTGTGGTGTCTCTGGGATATCAATATGGACTTACGGGAAAATACCATACTTCCAGTGCTATGCGCTATGCAGGAGAGTCAATGCATCGCAGCATGGCAACCCCTACAAACACTTTCCCTAAATTCGTATATATGTGTGTGTGTGTGTGTATCCACATACACACACACACACACATATATATAATATATATAATATATATAATATATATTATATATGTAATATATATTATATATATTATATATATATGTATTCTGTAACCAGCAAAGTATAATCCAGGTTTCTTTTCAAAAGGAGCAACCGGTTCAAATGCACAGCTGGATATGCCAGCAAACACATAATTAGACAAATTGGATTTAAGAGTTACGTAAGGTCTTAACTGAGCCAGTGAATAAGAAGCTGAATGAAACGTTGTGATTGCTGCTCTGGTGCCTAGAAAGAACAGAATATGTGGATCTGTGTGTTTTGGGCAAATAAAAGGCAATTACTGGGAGTTATGGAGTGTAGTTGGCATTCCATGAGAGTTAGACTATAGAATGTTTCACAGTGGGTTGTGCTGGGGAAGAAAAATGTCCATGGCTAAAAGAGGAGCGTGTTAGAGGAGATGTACTAAAAGGAAAAGATTTGGTAAATACTATTTTGAAGCTATATTTTGCAAAAATTATATGATATGCAATTTTTCAATAGGCTATAAAATGTCTTGGATAATTTTAAGTACAAAAGGATACATTATATATTATTTTTCTTCCAAAAGCGGATGTTTCCAACCAAGCCAGGTATATTCTGGAGAAGATAACAAGCAAAGTCTACAGTTTCAGAATTTTTCACTAAGAATACCAAAACCAGTGACTAAATATTGAAGATAAGCCCCCCCTCATAGAATTAAGAAGGTAAAACTAAATTACCAGTTTTTCCTATTTGCAAATAATCTTATTTGCAAATTTGTCTCAAGGCAACTGAATGAAAAGTAGATATTCTTCTCTCTCTAAAATCGCCATGAAGTAAATGGGACAAAAAAGCAATTGTCTGAAAGAGTCCTATTTTCTTCCAGAAAACATCCTGAATTAATTGATGAAAGTACCTATTAGTCCCCATGACACCAACGCTTATAGCATTTAGGGCTTGTCTCTTAGTGTGCAATTTAAATATATATCCATAAAATCCTTGCCAATAATACTAATAACGTCTTGTCTATTGGTGCTGCCTAACCATTAAAATCTCTATTAGCAATCTCATGTTTGGTTTGATATACATTACAAAGAAGGTTTTGAACATGTCTAATTTCCAAAGCAGGTACTACAGATGGTGGCAAATACAAAGATGAACAGAGTTCCTTCCCTCACATTTATAATCTAGTAAGAGAGACAGAAATATAATAGAGAAATATGGTGCATTGTTGGCAACTTTGTCACATACTAAAGGAAATTATTTTGAAGAATTTTATATTTTGCTTACATGGCTATTTGAAGTGTATTTTGCTTGTATTTTAATGAACGGGAAGTTCTTTTACATTGAAGGTATGTATGCAACCATTATGATGGTTACTATTAAGTATTATATTCTACTTTTAAGCTGATGATCAAATAATTCTGCATAATTATGGGCACAGTAGTAGGCAAAAAATCGATTTGTGATCTATTATAATCTACAGATCATAAATCAAATAGAGATCCTTGATGGTAAAAAAAAAAAAAACATAGTAATCTGCTGAGGACAAGTAGATTCTCATGTTTGCCAACCTTTAAATTCTTCTCAACAGCTGTCTATTGAGTTACCAAATTGCAAATGTCATATTTGGAGAGGACACTCCCCTCATTTATTTACATGTGGGAAAGCTTTTTGAAGTTGCTTGCTAGGGTCATAGTGATAGACAATCCAAGGGGAACAAAGCTTGGCAGAACATATGTGATTATAGTGTGGGCAGCTCCTGCTTCTTAGTCTAAAACTCTTCCAGAAAGAGAAGGTTGTCTCATACAATCTGCTTTCAAAAATGCCAGAGGACAGGTAGATTTAGTATAACTTTCCCTAGGTTAAATGAAAGCTCCTCATCCTTAAGCTGATATCTCAATACACCCCTGACACAGAGAAGGATATTTACTGTTGTCCAGCGAACCTTCATTGAACTAAGGTACTTTATATACATTTCCAGGTCAACAACCATCAATCCTTCATTCTTCCAATGACCGAGCACAAAGAATCTATCTGTCTTAAGTAAAATACATTCACTTAGTTTGATCATTAGTAATTTTGTGACATTGTATCTTAAATCAGGATTCATTAAGATATAACAAATAAGAAGAATAAAGCAATTATTTGAAGTAGCACCCATTTATGATTGAAAATCATAGCTCATTCTTTGATGTTGCTCCCTGTTTTAGTTTCTACCAGGAGGAGTAATGTTAGAAATAAGTGAATACTCTCTATTGTGTTAGGACCAAAGAGTTGTTAGTTTTGACCTGATAAAACTTTCCTCTAAACTTGAGTATTTATAGACAGAATTCCTGGTTTGTAAAGCCAAATTCAATGTTGATCTTGTCAGAGGGACTCAGAATAAGAACAAAAACACATACAAGTAAGAGAGTAGAGACTTACTGTATCACGTTGCCTGTTATCTTTCCCTGATATTATCAAGAAGTAGTTCCATGTCAATAGTAACAACAAAACCAGTGGTATCATGTAGAGCTCAAAGTTCCAGACAACAAAGAGAAAGAGCTGGAGGAGATAGAAGAGAGAAGAAGGGATGAGTCAACACTGAATTTCATTAAATGGACTCTTATTTATACTCTACTTCAAAAACACAAAACCAAATGCTTCAGAACAGGAAGATTTATCTTGAAAACAAAGCCTTGGAAACTTTTAGACATTTTTCTAAAAATATAACTGACCCGTGAAAAGTCACTGGTAAGATTTTCAATCTGTTTAATTTCTATGAAGGAAAAGTTGATATCATTACGTTGTCAAAGACGAAATTTGAGTTTTTCTCCTCCAGTGAAATTATTGTTAAGTTGAACAAAATTTTTAAAAAGCAGCAAAATGAACTCCGCTACACTGTCAGAAATACCCTGGTTTATCTGCCTTAATGATAAAAAATGAATCACTATTTAATATCAGGGACTTTTAAAAAATCTCGCTTGGATAATACAATGTAACAAGCTTAATAGGCAGATGAAAATACCAGGTCTACACAAGACAGCCCCAAAGATTTCACAATATGAAAAAAAGCACTGCTACGGACAAGTGTACAAAATGGTTGGCTTAATATTCAGCATTACCATAGAAATCAAAGAGCTATTACAAGCAAATTTTGTCAAAACAAATTTTAAAATGCCTATTTGTATTGTTCTTTTTTAACATACCTACTTCTCCAAGTATATAAACTTTTTCATTGTAAGACAAATGTTAGATTAAGAACTCAGGGTGGTAGATGGAGTCATTCTAAGAACACTTACATTATAAAACAACACAAAGTTGGATATAAAGTATGACTCACCCCCACCCGACACCAGCCTTGTAATCCTGGACAGATCATTTAAATTCTCTGGGTCTATGGCTTTTGCTGTCAAATTAAGGTAATGTTAAGTCAGGAGGCATTTAACAACTAGATTCCACTCCTGACTCTAATGCTAACTAGCCATATAACTTTCAAGCAACGTATATATCCCCTCTTTCGTTTCTTCCCCAGTAAAATGGGGACGATAGGATTATCCACCTCAGGGTTGTGAGAATTAAACACAATGCTTGGTGTGCAGTAATTTCGCAAAAACCAAAACCCAAACCATTATTGTGTAAATGTTATTAATACATTACAAAACACAGAAAGTCAACTAATTATTGATTAAGGTCCTCAAGTAATACAGATTATAATACTGGAAGCTAGAAAGCCCTCTGCCTGCTAAGATTTAGCTGAACCATAGCGTAACTGGGAGTTTCAGCCAGCTGGTTGGAATAACACAAACATCTTGCATTTGATAGGTCAGGAGAGTTAGGGGCAGTGCCCTAAGGACACCCGTCTCAGGCACAGCAGCATGGGACATTTGCAGTCTTCTTAATAAATCTCAGTGAAGCCTACAGCCTATTTAAATGGCAGAGAAAATTAAACAGTATGAAATGGTAGAGAGACTCCTGGCCTCAGGGCCAGGAGACCAAGGTTCTGAGTTTTAGAAAGTCCCTCTGCCTTAGTGTTCTCATATCTTGACAGAGGTCTATAAATCTAATCATCTTTAATATTTCTCTAATATTTAAAATGACTTCATGACATTACTGTACCATCCGTTTTTTCAATGTGACATTAAATTTTGAAAATTGTATATTTTACCGAATTCTTTTATATTCATAACCAAGTGGGCACCAAAAAGCATAAATAATAGTTAAATAAGCCAAGAAATGATTTTGGACAGAATTACATAGTAACTATAGATTCAAGTTCCTGCATAAGAAAAGTTCCAAATATTGTAATACATGAAACATGAGCCATATCTTTTATTTTATGAGAAAAGTAGGAAGATTTCCAGAAAAAGAAAAATATTTTCATTTAATTTTTGAAATTTATACAATTATACAAAGATGATATAAATAATTGATGGTTATGATTATTAAAATATATTTTATAAAGATAATTATTTTTTTAGGAAGTGAATTAAGGTAAATGTGACAGACATCAATACATGTAAAAGGGAAAATCATTTTTGGCTAAAGTCCATATTCTTTATATATTTATTTGTAGCATTTAGGCAGTCACTAGAATATAAGCTCCTTTAAAGGTAGACTTTTTGTTTTCATTCACTGTTTTATCCGTAGAGCCTGGAACAGTACTTGGGGCATAGCAAGTGCTCAATAAGTAAATATTTACTGAATTAATGGATAAATGGACACTGGGTTCCCCAATCATTCTACAGAATTCTATTTAATTATTTGTATTAGCAAAAGTTCTATAGATCTACTATATAAAACCAAGTGACTTCAAGAAAATGCATTCAGAGTTACAATCTGGGATACTACTAACAAATTTCTCCCTCTGACAAAAAAGTCTACCTTAGTACTTCTTCTAGACAAGATTTTCTTTCCATTTGGCTATGCAGTCATGAACTATTTTGGATATTATGGTCTTTTCTCTTGGACCTTCCTTTATGTTCCTTTTCTGAGGGCATTCATTTGACTTAGTGTGTTCTGGCGTCATGGATGGGACTCAGATTATCCCATTGCTAAATATGACCAATTGTAATCTTTTTAACCTATTAAGCAGATATGTTTTCCCTTGTAATGTCCATTCATTGGTGTTAGGGTCCTCGTCTTATTCAGAATGAATTTCCTTGTAATGTCCATGGATTGGTGTTAGCTGCAGGCCTGTCATCCACAGAAAAAACTACCTAGGTGACAATCCTGCAAGCAATCAAGACATCTTTCATGCATTCTTCTTCTCTAGATTTGACATCACCACTTGCTTCAAGCATCAGTTACAGATTATGGTTTCTAGGCACTTCCCCATTGTAGTCATCTTCCTCTTACCATATCCAAATCAATACATCAATAACTTTCTTAAAATATAGCACTCAGAACTGACACACACTTCTCATAAATGCCTAAGGTATTTTTATATGTCCTAATAACATGGGCACCAGAACATGGATTGGAGAAAGACACAGAAGACAGAGACACAGAAAGAAATTACATTCATTTTAGGAATTCTGGCAATAGAAAAACCATCTCCTTTTCTATTGTGGTTTTAAGAATCTAATATTTGGGTAATTGAGTGAGGAGCTCCTACTATTGAAAAAATATATATTTTTAAAACATGAGAGCTTTGAATAAGTTGTAAATACAAAAGCATTTATTTTTCTTTTTCAGCACCTAAATGAAGATTTCAAAAGGTTAAAGAACATGAACACAGATTAACAATAAAAATGTATTTATTGAACATATATGTTATGAAATATTAGATGTTTGAAAGTAGAACAGCCAATCATTTATTCAATATAATATTAGTGATAATTCTAATTCCTGTTAGCTGGTGAGGCTCCTCTAATAAAGAGAGCTCTCGAAGGAAGAAAGGAGCTTTTTAGCTCATTCACTCCACACTAAAGCCTCTTCTCTCCTCTCTCTTTGGAAAGAGATCAGTCTTCTCCTCTTTCCTATAAAAAACTGAGATAACACAAAAGGTCTGGCCTTTAGTGTCCTACTAGGGTAGTAAGAGAAATAAGGCAGCTGGAAGAAACCCAAGGAGGGCCAAGACAATGAAGGATCTGTCCTTGGTCCTGATTATACATTTTCAGAGGTATTGGGGGAAACGAGAGATACAATAATGCATTAAAATGGGATGGAAAAAGAAATCAAGAAACAATTTTAAAAATCTCTAATGTATTCACAGAATACAAAAATAAACCATAAAATGTCTAGCATTTGTCCAGATCTGCATTTCTGGAATTGCTTTTTGCCTCTGTGGGTCATGGAAAGAGGACCTGCAGATTTTAGAATTTTTTGATGTTACAGTGCGGTGATAAGGACACTCACAAATGTCTACAGAGTGTTAAATTCCTTCACCTCCTTCACTATAGCACCCTTTCTGTATTTTTTCCTCTCTCTCTGTCACATAATCTCTTCACGTCTCCCCCATCTCTCCTTTTAATAAGGAAACAGGCTGTCTACATTTTACTCTCATGGAATACATGCCCAATTCCAAACAAAACATCTACCCCTATGTTAGTTATCCATGTTCATTAGAGACTAGAACTATTCCAAGAATTTGGTGGCTTTCTTTTTTAATCATTATATGGCTGTTGTAATTTACAATTAGAATTCAATACCAGAAAATCTTCAGGGGGCATTAGTCAAATGGTAATAAGTACACACAACCCCTTTCATTAGAAAAAGAACATTGAGAGTTTTACTCATTATCCTGCATGTTAGAAGCTCTCTATCAACTGGCTTTGGGCCGTTAGCCATGACTGTGGGATCCCTCAAGAAGCTGCTGCAGTGTGGTACAGTAGAAAGAGAACGGTGTTTGAATCAGGCCTAGAGGCATCCAAGCTCTCTAGTCACCAGCTTTGGGACCTTGGGCAAGTTACTAGATTTCTCTTAGTTTTGTCGTCTGAAAAGTGAAAATGATACTATTTACTTGGCAGATTTGAGAAGCAATTAAGCCGATGCTTGACATCTATAAGATGCTCAACAAGCATTAGGTGTTCTGACAAGCAGGAATTGATTGGCTTACACTACATATAATTTTTTTTGGCCCTTCTAGCAGCTTATCACTTTTTGTATACTACCTTAGAATCCATAGCTAATGATTGTTTCAAGTATAAGAGCTATGCTAAAGAAGCCATGCCAACTAAATAGAAAGAGATGATGAAATGAGTGCCACTTTCAGTTTTTCATATTTAATTTGTGGTGACTGAGTACAGTGATGACCCCGATTTTTCCATGTCTCCCTGTATCCATGACTTTTATAATAGCCTCCCACAATGACTGAGATTAGGCACATAACTTATTTTGGTCAAGGATAGAGTAGCAAATATGATGAAAACAGAGGCTTAAAAAAACATGGGGCATAGCTGCCTCCATCACCCCAGTTGAAAGCCAGACAGCATCCAAAGCAAAGCCACCTGACAGACCAAGAAGCCAACCAAAGATGCAAGAGTGAGCCCAGAGCTAGGCCTAGTCCAAACTGCTAACAAAATCATCACTAAATAAATGATAGTTGCTTTAAGCTACTAATTGTGGAGTGGTTTGTTATACAGCAAAAGCTCACTAATACATATTATTCTCTCTCCAAGGAGACAATGTGGTAGGGTAAAATACAGTTTCGACTAGAAGCCCAAAGAAGTGATTTCAGTTCAATTTCTGCTATTTGATCATCATAGGACCCTGTGCAAGTCAATTATTCTCTTTTCCTTTAGTCTCTTACCTATAAAATGGAGATGGTTACACCAGCCCATTTCACAAGTTGGCTATGGAAAAGCAAGTGATACATGTGAAGATGCTTCATCACAAAGTACTATATTATTAATGTAATGCTTTTCTTTTCTTTTCTTTTCTTTTTTTTGAGATGGAGTCTTGCTGTTGCCCAGGTTGGGGTGCAGTGGCGCGATGTCGGCTCACTGCAAGCTCTGCCTCCCAGGTTCATGCCATTCTCTTGCCTCAGCCTCCCGAGTAGCTGGGACTACAGGCGCCCGCCACCACGCCCGGCTAATTTTTTGTATTTTTAGTAGAGATGGGGTTTCACTGTGTTAGTCAGGATGGTCTCGATCTCCTGACCTCGTGATCTGCCCGCCTCGGCCTCCCAAAGTGCTGGGATTACAGGCGTGAGCCACCACACCAGGCCTATGCTTTTCAAATTATAAATTAATTTTAAGAAAATTACACAGACTTTATAAACTTAATAAGTCAATATGATCATTGCTCTTTGAGCAGTTGTAGAAGACGAGTGGTGTTCTTTAGGGTGAACTGTATTTGGTGAGGAATGGAGAAGTTTTTGGTGGGAAATCCTAAGAGTTAAACAGAAGGGTTCCAGTTAAAAGCTTTACTAATAATTGAAACAAAAAAAATCTAGATCTTTACAAAAATTCATTATTACTAGTAAATGGCCGAAACATTAAAGATTCTGTGAACTCAAGTTAAAACAATTCAGTATTAAAATGTTAACAATTTTTTAACAATCTTATTATGCCCCTATATATGAAAAAAAGCTTGTTCGGAATTAGCAGTTTCATGAATTCTAATTCTTGTTCATAGTCTTTGTTCATTTTTAAATTCAAAAATCTTTTATCTAAATCAGTATTATCTTGCCTATGATATTAGTGGCAACATTACAATATGCAATTTTGAAGTATCCATTTGGGTCAGGCTTTAAAAACATTCTAAATTTTAACCATAAATATTCAGAATGAGGGTTTTTTTTTGAAAAGTTTTAATTTACCACAAGGTAAATAGGCCGGGCACTGTGGCTCATGCCTGTAATCCCAATACTTTGGGAGGCTGATGCAGGAGGATTGCTTGAGGCCAGGAGTTCAAGACCAGCCTAGGTAACCTAGCGAGACCTCGTCTCTACTAAAAACAAAAAAATGTAGCTGGGCCCGGTGGCATATGCCTATGATCCCAGCTACTCAGGAGGTTGAGGCAGGAGGAACTCTTGAGCCCAGGAGGTTGAGGCTGTAGTGAGCCGTGATTGCACCACTGCACTCCAGCTTGGGCAACAGAGCAAGACCCTGTCTCAAAAAATATATGTAACACTATTTCTCCTAACAAGTATCTTATATCATATCATATTGCACAGAGAGAACTTTAAGGAAAAAGTCCTGAGAGGCAGACTGGGAGGGCAGGGACTATTACCTTCCTTTTACAAAGGAGGAAACTGAGGCTTAGGAGTTTGAGACTTGTCTGAAGCAAGTCTGAGTGGCAGAGCCAAGTCTTCTCCTTCCTAATCTAGTATGCTGTTCCCACGAAGCTCCACTGACTCTACAGTAAATGGTCTTAGATTGAATGTTGATGTTTTAAAGGTATCAATTATTTAGGTACTGATTATCCAATTGTAGATTTTCCATATCTTTTTCTTCTCTTCCCCCTTCCTCTAGGATAACTACTCTTGCGTCAGTACAAAGAAATGGAATGCCACTTCTTAGGTGTTCTGGTAGAGGTTTGGTATGGCAAAGAGGTCAAAAACTAACAGCGGAAATGAGGTTTGTGGAGCCAATTTTATTCTTCCTTTTTTCCCACCATCTTACACGACTCTGAATAATCAAAACTTGGCTATTCATAAGATTTCTATTAAGTGGGGTTTTCTTCTGTCCAAAATGTTTAGAAGAGGTTAGCAAGGTGGCTGTAAAGGCAAAGATTGGAAACTGAATGAGCCAATTACATTTTTACAGAAAAAAAAAGTCCTACTTTTTCAAATAAAGATTAAACAAACAAACAAAAATCTGTTCTGCTGAGAAGTTAAGTGAAGGTGGGGCAAGGCTTTTCAGTCATATGAAACAAGGCATACTATACAAAGTAGAGTGAGCAATTCCAAATTTTAAGATTTTTATAGCAACACCATTTCTTAGGAGGTGCAAGACATGCATGATTTTGATTTCTTTGAGCCTGGGGTTTTATGAGTCTCAGGCAGGACTGGGCCATTCACATCATCCCATCAATTGATGCTCTCATTGAAGTGCAGTGGAAGATGCCTGCATTCAATGATCATTCAGTGCGACACATGACAGTATCCCTGGGGGAGCCCACTTCAAAAAAAATCATTTAAGTTGGAATATTGAATATCCTATTCTTTTGCAAACTACAGTATATTTTAAAAAGAAATCTCATCCAAAATGATTAACACTTCCTACTGTTCAGGAAAAAAGCCTGCCCTTTCAGACTAACAGCTGTGGATCATTAGCTCTCCAGTGATGAGATGTGTTTGATGAGTATTTTTCTTTCTAATTAAGAGATGAGATTCTCTATTTGACTGTCTCTTCAGAAAGAAGTGAAGAAAAAATTTTCTGCCTACATGGAAAGGCCATCTCCTACAAAACAATTAATTATTTCACGGTCCTTTTAGAAAATCCTTTTCCTTCCTAATTTCAATTCATTTTTTTCTTAAACTTAACACACATTTACACTCAGACCTTCACAGTATTAACCCATTTTTTACCCAATCTTCACCCCTTAATGTTTTCCTGTATAGTTCATCATTCGACAATATCTGTTTCAGAAAAAACAGAATGAAGAAATGTGCCAAAAGTGCGTATATGCTTAGAAGAGTTAATCTGGAAGGACTTTTTTGGGTCCTAACAGAGAACATTTGGTATGAGAATGTTTCTTGATGTGAGAGAGACCTCAAATTAGAAAGATAACAAATACACAGGATATGCCTTTTGAGGAACTAGGCAATGATTGGGGGGAAAATTCAAGGTGTTTATCAATATATAAAAACTGATTATAGTAATGAATACTTAACAGGAAATTATCTTACCTCTACCAATAAGATTGGCCTTAAAGAAGAGAGCTGGGTAAAGTGAGACCTAAAATATATTGCTTTTCATTTTGAAAAAGCCATCATCAGAGTTGGCAAAGAGGTAAAATTTCTGAATTACAAACTTGATTGAAGAGTAGGATAGTTAGAAGCCAATGAAAGCACTGTTTGTGAATTAACCCCACCAATTGCCTCCTTAAATCCTTTTTGGCACAAGAAAGGGAATATAAAAAGAAGGAGGATCAACTTTCAAACATTTCGATGCTGAGCTGCCACTTTCCTCCCTAGGGCACATTTGGAAATATGCAGGGATGTTTTTAGTTGTCACAATGACTAGGATGGGAGAAGGGAAATACTGGGCATTTGGCGGGTGAAGCCAAAGTGAATCACTCTGAAATATGTGTGACAGTCATACCCAATGAAGAATTTTCCTGCCCCAAATGCTAAAAGCACTCCTCTTTGAGAAAAGTTGTCTGTTTCTCATATAGATAATAGAATATTCTATAATTAACTTACAAAAGAAGAAACTATATGTGTATATACAAGTGTATACAGAAAAAAAGCTAGGTATATTTCCTATGTGATGGCATGAATTATGACTTAGAGTAAGTCAGTAGCAGAGAAAAAATTGTCCTTATAAGCATTTGAACTAGATTCTCCTACTAATGTTTAACATTTCTTTAAAACATGCCCAAAGTACTGGAGGTGAACCCCTTATGCCCATTTACACTCACTCAAATTAAGTCAGGCTCCACCACATCATCAGAGTCTTCAGAACCTAGTCTTCTGGGAAGGAGGTGGTTTTGCCTTGATTTAAATAGCCAGATGGCACCACCACCTGTTCAAAGGTCTTTATTTCTGGTTGGTTCCACTAAAGCTTTTTGTACCACCTCCATTCAACAAGGGAGAGGAGATAGGCAAAGTGAACTTAATTAATTCCTAGCATAACGATAACCTTTTCAAGGTGGTTTTAAAGTATGATGTGTTGCTCTTCTGAAGAGAGGCTTTGCTTTGTTTGGACAATTTTCTAAAGTACACGGTAGCAGGGAATTGATGACTACCTTAGACCCACTGAATCTTTCCAATTTATTTTGCTATTTCCTGTGATCATGCCACAATGATACAGGGAGCATTAATATGCTCAAAAGAGCCTCATGTACAGTGGCATCTCTCCCTTCTCTTAATTAGAATGAAAATTGCTTTCTTTTTGACTAGTTTCAACCAGATACCAAACTGACAAGACTTGATCTGTTGTGTTTTGTTGTGTGTGTGTTTCTTATGTGTAGAGGAAAAAAAATCAAAGTGCACTATCTACCAAATGACTCTATATTGAGTAGGCAAAGTGTGTCAAAAGAACTATCTATCTCTGTTCTGGTAACAGGATGAGGTATATGGGAAGGAGTAGAAAAAAAGTGAGAAATTGGTTGATTTATTGGCAAGCTGTGACTTGAATACATATACTGAAACTTTATTTATTGGTGGTGTTGAAAAAACATTGTTTCTTTGGATTTACTAGGATGAACAAATATACATCAGAAAGTTCCAATTCTTTATATTGTGAAAATGTATGCTGGGTTTTTGAAGTTGCTATCTGAAACCTAAAGTCTACAATCTTAGTACATCAATGCTTTTTTGAAAAACATAGCTTGACTCTATCTATTAAAGAAGCAAGTGTGACAACTAGATAGGACTCATTTGAAGATGTGCTACATACAAGCCACAAAAGCACCTAGTGAAGAATCTCCACAACAAAATGGACCCAAACAGCCTTAAAGATGGAGCTATCAACTAATCATAGCATAATGCACACTACTTTCCTTGATGGAGATATTATATCAATAGAACCTGCCAGCCAGAAGGCTTGGGAAGTTATTTATTTAAATGTTTTTTTTTTTCAGCTTACAAGTTGTACTGATAATTTGTGTCATTTTTATCAAAGTCAGAGATGAAAGGCTCTGGCTTTGCTTTGAGAACACTGACAACTCCAAAATGTAAAGCCCAGAGTATGTCCAACTTGAGCATCACATAACCACACATGAATAACTGATAAGAAATCCCTGCAATGTTGTGAATTTAATGTTAGTAAAAGTTTGGATGTAGAATGAAAGTGACAAATGCTTATAGATGCCTGGAGAATGTTGATTCTCCAAGGTCCCTTTCATTAGAAATTAGTCTGTTACCTTTGTAGTTTGTAATGCCTACCACGGTATCAAACACAGTTGATGTTTTAATTTTAACAGCTTTGTAATTCACAGAAGTTCAGCTCATTCAAAATCAGGCTGCAAGCACAGTCATTCTTGCAGACTACAGATCAGCACATATTTATTATTTTAAATGACCAATTAAGAGGAATTGATATTATGTGGCCTGTGAGGAAGTTGCTGGAATCAAGTAACAATCACTCTAAAAAATGCTCAAGTACTACATTAAAGAAACATTTAAGAATGAGTTAACGCTGTTAAACTCACTGAAGCTTGCCTTTCTCTAGTGCCCCGTTTTCCCAGGATCCAACTTTTTCTGGAAAGACCCACGACTATCTCACTAATGCTAGGTAACTAACAGTCCATGCTTTAATTATTTTCTAAGGAAGAAAAAAAAGTGTTTTAATGTTGGATCTCAGTTGTGTTTTAGCTTTTCTTCTTCTTATGCCTCCAATGAAAAAGATAACTTTTTCATGATAGTCTAATCATTACATGATGTTCTGATATTCCTTCCTGTCTTTCAGGTTTTTAAATTATTGTTTAACAAAATTGTTAGATTCACTGTGATCTTTTATTTAAGTATATTTTACAGAAATTGACAATTTCTATATATTTTCTAAGGCATTAGAAGTGAGGTAAAGATTTATTAGAGCTTATTAAAAGCAGTTTCCTTTTAAACTTTTAAAGAAATGAATGTTACCACTCCTATTTTTGAAATCAATTTTTGATCAGTTCCCCTTTGTGTATATAAATGCTATATCTAGACACACAAATCTTACACCAATGTTTGCTGATGTACAAAATGTAAAATTTCCCTAAGCTTGAAATCTGGCTTTAAAGCTATCTCCATCCTGAACAGGTACAATATTTAGGGCAACAGCTGGCACTTCAGTTGCTCATGGGGGGAAACTCCCTCTGTTCTCTATACTGTGCCAGAAAATAGGATACCCAGCTATCTAACAAGCCAAACACATGTTAGTAAAGTCTGTGATACAAGTTACTTTAAAAATTAGTCCTTCAGTCTTTACACCTCCAGCTCTAATTCACTGAACAGGAATGCCTTTAGAAAAGCAGATGATCAATTATGGTAATTCCTTTTTTATAGTAGCTGATGTGCAGAGTGTTGCATTCTGCCAAGTTCTGGGATATTTGGTAGCATTCTGACTTTTTTCCACTCAAATTATTTCACTCAGACTTATCCAACTTATCACGACTATCTTCCCTGGGCTACTGATTTCTGATCTTTCTTTTTTATCCTTCATGATATAACCTTGCAGTTATTGTTGATTATTCTTTGTCTGGGTTTAATATCTTCATTTAAATCTTAAAATCACAGAGCCAAAGTCAGAAAGTGTGTTTTTAAATTTTCACCCTCATAAATAGATTTAAGACCTAATAATATCATACATTTCAGCTATCATTTACTAGCTTCTGAAACTTCATCTCCCATTCCGTCTTATAATTTTCTAATTTTCTCCTTCACTGGTCTCATTCCCCCAATCCCTCTGTTCTGGAAAAACTTCAAGAGTTATGTTTAGCAGCTCTAGCTATGTCTGAACATTTCTCTTTGCAATTCAAATAATCATCTTAGGCTGATTTTAACAGCCTTCTTTACTCCATTCCATCTTTTACCCTTGCTGCGTAATGTTTACTGATGAATGTCTTTCTCCCATTTATTTCTTAACAGCTCTAAGTGGTCTAGTTACTGCACGGGAAGCCTAAAGGTTTGAGCACTAAGTATACATTTCTCTTGGCTATTTTCCACACCTCTAAACATTCTCTTAAATGCAATGGGGCTTGTGTTTCAATGGTAACAGAAGTTATCAGAGAACACTAGTTTAGACAGCAAGCAAGCCGAACTCCAACTGTTCAAACAGCCTGACTTTTACAGTAAAAGGAAAGGCCCTGGGCCAAGACCACTGAGATGAGCAGGTATTTTTAGTTCACTTGTAGGCCAGCTCTAATGTAATTCTGAAATGTTTTCTTCAAACCAAACCCGACTTTTTCAGGGCTGTCCAAATCTGTTTTCTTTTATAGCAAGTACAAATTCTTGGAGCAAGGGAAGCATGCGTATCATTTGCAATGCTGCTGCATGTCTATGGTGTTGATGCCCGATGGCTCAAATTAGTCCGCAAAACAGATGAGCGCATTGTAATTAGCTCTTGTCAAACTGTTAGAAATACAAAAACCAATTCCACTGTAATAAAAATTATGAAAAAGAAAAATCTCTCCTATCATTTTCAGCCAAAATAGTTCCTGAAATGTCTGTAGTTTAGGATTCCAGAGTTCTAAAAGAAGGCCATTTCATTTTCAGAAAAGCTTTCACTTCATTGACATGGAGATGCCGAGATGTATTATCTTTCAGGCATTTTTCTCATTGTAGCTGATTGCCCATAAAGCCCTGTTTCTAAAAATGACCTGTCAGGAGTGGACATATTTTGTTGAGCCACACGGTACTGATGTACAATTCTCAAGAAACATTTATACTTCTTTGAGTACTGTTTTAAAGAAAATTTTCTGAAGTTTTTAAAATCAATGATTTACTGTGATCAATTTTCCAGAATAATTGAATATTGCATTCTATTTAAACAAAAGGGGATATTAAGCAGGCATTAATCGTAGGTTCAGATGTGATGTCACACTCTCACATGATGATCCTCAGTTTCTTGTTCACAATTTACTTGAATATTCATTGTTGGGACACTGACTCTAAAGACTACTTTGCTCAATCTTTTAAATTATTCACAAGCTTCAGGAAGGTTTCAGATCTCTCTGAAATTTAATGTCCTCTCAAGGAAAAATGTGAGCTATTGGTAGATGGCTATTGTAAAAAGCAAGTGTAAACATGAACCAAAAGGTGGTGCTGTTTGTGATTAGGTCAGGGATACGAAAAAAAAAAAAAACCCAAAAAACTAAAACTAAAACAAAACAAAAAAAAAACCCTTCTACATGTCTTCTGAACTTTTCCAAAGATAAATTCAGGTGTATTTGTGGGAATGAGCACAATAACGTAAAATGAAACTATCTTTAAAAGTAATAAAATTACTATATACAGAAAATTCAGGTGAACACCTGTAGTCTTAGCTACTTAGGAGGCTGAGGTAGGTGATCGCTTAGCCCAGGAGTTCAAAACTGCAGTGCACTGTGATTGAGCCTGTGAATAGCCATAGCACTCCAGCCTGAGCAACACAGTGAGACCTTGCCTCTTAAAAAAAAAAAAAGGTGATACAAAATGGATCATAGAACTAAAACCATAAAACCTCTAGGAGAAAATATTTGTGGCCTTGGGGTAAGCAAGGTATTTATTCACAGACACAACACCAAAAGCATTCTCTCTCTCTCTCTCTCTCTCTCTCTCTGTATAAATGTCTGTGTGTGTGCGTGCGTGTATATATAATGTATATTTAAAAATTTGGCCTCATTAAAGTTAAAAACATTTGTGCTCCAAAAGACACCATTAAGAAAATGAAAAGATAAGCCACACATCGAGAGAAAATAATTGCAAATAATATATCTGATTAAGGACTTGTATTCAGAGTATGTAGAGTACTTAATACGAAGACAAAAACCCCGTTTAAACAATGGGAAAAAGATTTAAGTAGACATTTCACCAAATAAAACATCTGAATGTCAAATAAGCACATGAAAAGATGTTCAAAATCATTAGTTACTAGGGAAACGTAAATTAAACCACAATGGGATACCACTTCACACCCACTAGAGTGGCTGTAATCAGGACAGAAAGCACTAAATGTTGGTGAAGACACAGAGAAACCAGAACCCTCGTATGTCATTGGTAGGAATGTAAAATGGTAAGCCTACTTTGGAAAACAGATTGTTAGTTTCTTAAAAATGTAAACATACATTTACCACATTAACCAATAATTCTACTCCTATCAAAGAAAAATGAAAACATATGCCTACATAAAGATACATACACGGATGTGCATTGCAGCATTATTCATGTTATTCCCTAAATAGAAACAATCCAAATGTTTATCATCTAGTAAATTGATAATCAAAATGTGCTATATCCAAGGAATACTATTCAGTAATAAAAAGAAGATACCTGTAATCCCAGTACTTTGGATGGTGGATCACTTGAGTCCAGGAGTTTAAGACCAGCCTGGGCAACATAGTGAGACCTTGTCTCTACAACAAAATTTTAAAAATTAGCTGGGAGGGGTGGCGCACACCTGTCACTTGAGTTTGGAGGTCAAGTCTGCAGTGAGCCATAATTATATCACTGCATTCCAGCCTGGGCAACAGAGCAAGATCCTGTCTCAAAAAATTAAAATAAAAGAAGACACTACTGACACATTCTACATCATGAACTCAAAATCACCACACTAAGTGAAAGAAGTCAGATGTAAAGGACATAGTGTATGATTCCATTTATATGAAAAGTTCAAAAAACGCAAATCCCTAGAGACAGAAAACACATTAGTGGTTTCCAGGAGCTGGAGGTGGGAATGGAGAGGACTGTATCAGTCATGAAGGATCCTCTGAGGTGATGGTTGTACAACTCTGGAAATTTACTAAAAACCAGTGAATTCTGTACTCAAAATGGGTGAATGTTATGACATATAAATTATATTTCAGTAAAACAAAATTTCACCTGTTCTTTATATTTCATTTAAAATAAAAAGTGCTAAAAATAAATACACAATACACAAATAAATAAATAAAAAGTGCTAAACTTTTGTGGGGGTAAATTCCAATACAAATAACTGAGAGAAACTAGGCTGAGAAAGTTAATGGTAAGGAACCTTGGGTGTATCTTGCCAACACTTCCAAAATATTTTAAAATGCTAGTCGATGACACTATCCACATGATGATTCTTTGGACAGTTGGTCCTCATTTGAGTTCAGAGAAGTTTCACTAAAGCCACTATAAAATAGCTAAAGCAAATATCAACATCAATCTTTGCTAATTATAACTGGAAAAGCAGGGTCCTAGAGGCAGGTGATGGAAAGTGGCAATATAATGCTACCACCATAAGGTGAGGCTATCACGCAACTATAATAGTTCTAAATTCCTATGAAAAATATAATCAGTTAAAATTTTTTGAACTCCTTACTTTCTAAATAAGAAATGGCTGAGAATATGAAAAAAATGCCAAGGAAAACTCAGTGAGAGAAGACATGGAAAGAAATAGAAAAGGACAGCTTAGCCCAACATGCAGAAAGAAAAAAAAAAGTTAAAAGAAAACAAAAACAAACCTTGGCACAGGAGAATGAGGATAGTGTATTCAAAGTCATCTTCTCTGCCCTGAAGAAAGCACTACTGGATAAATATGACAATGTTTCCTTATTTTGTAATCTTGGGTGAGGAACTCTTTTAATTTGGGCCTAGAGTCTTAGGTTTTCATTTGCATTCCTCAGTGATGTCTGTCGCCAAGTTACCTATAGTACCACCTATCAGGAAATAAAACTCCTTAGCCCCACATTCGTCTACGGGAAATACAGCAGGAATACATGTTATGAGGGATTTGTTTTATTTTTCCGGTCAGCAACAGTCAGTGCCTCCCTTAGGTTGGTTGGGTTTGTTTTTCTCAATATATTACATCAAGAAAATAGAAACGAAAACTGCTGAACACAGCAGGACAAGTGAAATACACCTGAAAACCACTTCCAACTGTTTTTATGCCAGCACTTCCAAAATTCTAGGATAACCCCATATCTTCCTATACTGCTACAAAACATTTCTTAATATTTTTCATGATAAAGCTTAATACATGTGTTTGTTAGCTAAGTTATATAATATCAAGCATGGAAAAGCAGGTGGGCCCTGGCAGATTTCCCCTTCTTTCTACAGCCAATTTCTCTATCTATCAATTGCTGCAATCTAAACTGCCTCCCTGTTCTACTGTCAGCTTTTCTGGAGCTATTCTATCTCCCAGGGAGACAGGTGTGGCTTTGTTCTCTAAGTGCATGACACTGGGCGAATCCAGCTCCCCTTTCACTAGTTCAGTTATGGCAACATTGCACTTCTTTCATTTATGTCTTTGCCTTTCAGATATGTTTGACCACACTCCTGTCCAGAAGTGTTCACCACATTTCTCGCTCTAATAAAGACATCCGCTCAGTGGCAACTCTGGATTCAGGGTTTACTAGTGTAATAAAGAGGCAGCAATGTGTTTCCTCTTTTCTAGCTTTAGATCAGTCTTGAGGAGGCATACAATAGTGTACAGCTTTTAAATACCAGTTAGAAAAGAACACTGGCTCAAGACCGTCTGGGTCTTGGTCTCATTGTCAATTAGAGCAATGGTAAATGGAATGGAGCTGGTGTCAAAGAGAGGGCAATATGCGACCTAAAAGCAAAACACACGTCATACCATCTATCATGAAATGCTCTGGGTTGTCTGCATAGCTTTGTTTTCCTCTCCTTTATGTCTAGTTTATGCAAAATGGAGGGTAACTGGCATACAGATGGGGAGGAAAAGCCTAAAAAGGAAAACAAGAAAAGGTAAAGTAGGAAGGGCTGAATAATGCTAAGACTTCTCCCATAAAAGAAGTAAGCTTTTTTTAATTGAGAAATTTTGTGGATAATGACAGCCCTAAATCAGCTGAAATGTTTTAGTGTTCAAGGTAAAATACGTATGTATAAATATGTTTGCCAAGTGTATACATGGATATAACATCTTTGTGTATATGGATACAACATTAGATGTGTGTATATAAATTTATATCATGTGTATATTTATCTGTACTTTTATTCATCCCATGGGAAGTGTGTATCCATAAATATTAAGTAATTATGTGTTGGCCCCTCTCCCTCAACTATAAAATTAAAATATCAATTCAATTATACTATGAAAATTCATTAAATGCTGTTAATGTTTATCTCACTTCTAAGAAATAATTTTACATGAATTAATATAGTACTGTTAATATATTTAAGGATTTTTATTATTTTGAAACCTAAATAGGAATTAAATATGAAGCTGGATTTAAATAATTTAATTAAATAAAATTATTACCATGAAAGAATAATTATAACTAAGCATTTCTATGCCCCAGAGGATCATTTAACTTTTTTCCCCTTTATCAACTTCAATTATATGTTTTTATTTTTATTCCCATATTGCAGATAGAAAAATTGAGTTTAGGGTAAGGCAAACATTTTCTATCATGTGCCATAGCAATCATTTTTAATCTCTACTTCACAATCTTATTTCCAAAAATAAGGTGGTAAAATTTGACAGGATTTTAAACAATTTTTGTAGCCTCTCTTCAAGATTGTATGAAAAAATTCTAAATATATAAAGATTATTGAATATAAATGAGTATACTTAAGGGTATTATTTTATTAATGTACTCTAAAAATTTCTCCTTGTCCATTAAAAAATGTTATTTTCTTCTTCTTACTTCCTCCCCATTTTAAGATCCATTTTAGACTGTGTTAGAGATAAAAGGTGTCAAAGATAAGAAATGCTCTTGATAACAGGTACTGAAAACCTGTAACAGAGAAGCCCTATGTCTTGTTGAAAATCTCTTATCATCTCAAACCTTCAAGACTCACCCAGTGTTTTGGCACAGCTAAACTGTGTCTGGGCTGGGTGCGGTGGTTCACACCTGTAATCCCAGCACTTTGGGAGGCCGAGGCAGGCGGATCACGAGGTCAGGAAATCGAGACCATCCTGGCCAACATGGTGAAACCTCGTCTCTACTAAAAATACAAAAATTAGCTGGGTGTGGTGGCATGCCGCATGCCTGTAATCCCAGCCATTTGGGAGGCTGAGGCATGAGAATCGCTTGAACCCATGAGGCGGAGGTTGCAGTGAGCCGAGATCGCGCCACTGCTCTCCAACCTGGGCGACAGTGAGACTCTTGTCTCAAAACAAACAAACAAACAAACAAACAAACAAACAAACAAACTGGTTTACTATGCAGAAGGAGTTGAAACTTGCTACCTCTTAACCTTTGAACTCCACCATCTTTTTGACAATTACAAGGGTCTCAGTTCCCTGAAGCACTGATTACTATAAAAAGTACAGTGCTGGTTTCTGAGGGATTTTTCCTATTGTCTTATTGTTTCTTTTGTTACACTTCAACCTCAATTCTAGGTATATTGTAGTTGTACTAATCAGACTTAATCTGCAATACAAGTAAGTTATTATGGGGAAGGCAGCATGTTTTACCAAAGATCGTGGATCGATTTGTATTTATACATATTTCCTCTTCTCATCTGAACCATTATTGGTTTACATATATGATTTTGGCCCTTTTTAGGAACTGTTGGCCGATCCATCATCTCTTACGATTGGGCTCTCTTGTTCTTCTGTTCAGCACTCTGATTTTCCTTGGGGAAACCCTCCCCCACTTTTAGTTGATGGTTTCTGGTGGTGCCGGTTCCACCCCTGGCTCTGCGTGGTGGACATTTGACCCAGACCTGGTCAAAAAGAGTATCAGCTGCTCCTGGTTATACTAATCGGTTCAAGGATGGGCAAATCAGAACAGTGAGACTCAACTGTGGGTCTTTGGGATTACAGCAAAAAAGAATCTTTTTTCCCCTGAACAAAAGCTAGAAGAAGGTAAACCTGAAGATATTTATGGCCACTTACGGGAAATCCTGTCTAAGATGAATGCTAACGCAGAGGAAAACCAAGCCAAGATATGGCAAGAAACTAAGGTCTGATTGAATTCTTTTAGCCCCTGAAGCAGACATGTCTGAAAGTATGATTTGGCCTTCCACAGATACACATACAAAAGTAAGTAAAAAGGACCATTTAAACATCTTGGTGTAATTCTTACAGATTTTGAAAAATTTTAAATTCATCCATCACACCTGGCCCCCATCAGACATAATTAGAATCTCTGGCAGTAGGGCCTGGAATCTGCATTTTTAGTTATTCCCTGAGTGTTTCAGGTGATCAGCTAATTTAAAGACCCATTATGAGTTATTGACTAAAAATTCTCACTCTTCTCGAACACCATCAACAGGCCATATGGAGTTTACATACTGCGCTAGAGGCTTCCTAGAGAGTAGACTATAAAATAGATAAAGTAGGTTAAGGGCTACAATTACTCTCCTTCTGATAGCTGTGATGGCTCTACCCTTTCTCTTCTACAGTCAGGAAAGAGAAGAGACTGCAACCATGTGGTAGAAACTTTAATGAAGGAAGGTCTTCTTTCTTCTTCTCAATGGCCTCCTGGTAAATTAAAACTGTCTCTAATCCAATCTGTGTTCTGGCAAGTGTGAGACTTACCTTCCTGCTACCTGTTTGACTAGGATGGTCAGACGGAATGACTGGATAAAATTTAATTTGAAAGAGAACACCCAAGATCTTACCAAATTCAATTTTTCTCATCATCTTAGAAAATTCAGATAACCTACATGGGAGGAACTGAATTTGACTGTTAGGTCTTAGAATTTAGAACAAGGGGTTATTTTAGTGTCATAATTTCCTAGGGTGTAAATGCAGTGAGTGGGGGTGTAGATTTCCAAATCTCAGTTGACTTGGTTGGTTTCTTTACCCAGTTACATAAAGCAAGATAAACTACTTCAAATTTATTTATTTATTTATTTATTTATTTATTTATTTATTTATTCATTCATTCATTCTTTCATTCATTCGAGATGGAGTCTCACTCTGTCACCCAGGCTGTAGTACAATGGCACGATCTCGGCTCACTGAAACCTCTGCCTCCTGGGTTCCAGCCATTCTTCTGCCTCGGCTCCCATGAGGAGCTAGGATTACAGGCGTGTGCCACCACACATGGCTACTTTTTTGTATTTTTAGTAGAGACGGAGTTTCACCATGTTGGCCAGGCTGGTCTCAAACTCCTGACCTCAGGTGATCCGATTGCCTCGGCCTCTCAAAGTGCTGGGATTACAGGCATGAGCCACCATGCCTGGCCTAACTACTTCAAATTTATACTCCTTGTCTCTGATTGGCTTCCCTTAGCACTCTTCAGCGTACAGTTTTTCAGAAAGGTTGAGATAAACACAATATTCATAGATTTCCTGCCTTCACATCTGTTTAAGGGTGGTTTCCAATCTTTGCAGAAGTGTTCATCTATGTCAATTCTAAGGGTAGACAATAGGTCCAATGTGGCCATCCTGTTAAAAAGAGGTGATTATTTATTCTCCAAAATTATTGACCTTTTTATATCACTAGACATTCTGAGTGAGTCTTCTCCATGATAATTCACCAGTCAACCATCTCAGGCCAAAATTTTACCTAACAGCAGGAGGATTGTAGGCACAATATTTTACCATTGACTCCTGCAGCTTTTAGGAAAATTGGCCACAAACAATACGTTTTCAGATAGTTCATTCTGGAACTTTTCAAGATGGGCAGAAATTCATTATAGATAAGTTGCACGAAGTCCTCTGGGCATCCAATGATTAATGATCCTATAGAACCTGTCCTTCTGTGTTATCTTGAATTGGGTTTTGTGGAAAAGTTGTCTTGATGGACAAGAATTTTCAGTGAGATAAAACCAGATGTGTTCTACCCTCTTTTACACCATGTGGCAACTTCTTTTTAACTTGTACCTTGATGACTTGTCACTTTTGACTGACTGGATGCAAAGCAAAAGGAAACAACAGAAAAAGTGTTTCCTAACATATTGATGTCATGGCTTTATTGTCACAAAATAGGTGTGAGCTTAAAAAACAAATATCTGACTATTTAATCAGTATTAAAAAATAGCTCGAGATTAATCATTCTAAAACCCAAATGATTATTTTTGGCAGATGCTCTGAAGCACTCAAGTTAGTTACAGTTAACCACTCTGAACAGGATCTTATCACCAAAGCATAGCAAGTTTTGGCGAAGGACTCACAGGAAGTTATAAGGTTAGCTGTTCAATGGTTGCTCTAATGGGACCTTCTTTATGCCTATGGTAGTGGGAGTTTCATAACACCTTCTTTAACATTTTTTGCAGGCTAAAATAATCACAGTCATGCTCTTTGGCATAGAATTTTGAGGTTTGTGAGAAAAAATCTTGTCCCATTCTCAGCCCATGTCCATGTGGAGGCGAGGTGGCATTTTACAGATTTATGTTTTGGTTAGACTTCTCAACTTTTAAAAGAGTTGTCAACTATATTCCCATCTCAGCTGAGGCTTAAAGCATGGTCTGTCCCTAATTGGCAACAGAATATTTGCACTCCAAGTACTTGTCAAAAGAGGATAACGCTGAACGCTTGCTGCCCAGTGCCTATCAAAAATCAGTTGTGAGAAATTGTATTTATGGAAGGTTGCCTGAAGGACATACATTCCTTTTTAGATCTTCTAAATTGTATTTTTGGATTTAGCCAAACCATTTGAGAGTAACATACTTAAACCCCATAGCTATGTTACCTCAATAGTTATTGTGTCCCTGTGCCTAGCACTGAGATAGGCGCTTTTCATACTTGAGTAATAATCTTTAAAATAACCATGCAAGGTAGGGGTTAATATCTCTTTTCCAGATCAGGAAACACTCCCAGCACTGTCAAATAGCTTGCTCAAGGCCACCCAGCAAGTAAATGGCATTTTACACAATTCAAACCAAGTCTATCTGGCTCCAAATTTCATCGTCTGTATATAGTGCTAGAGTTGCTTTGACGGAACTGCATTTTGGTGTTGCAGCAGCAGCCTCTACTGAGGGAAGTTAAATGAAAGAATTCTGTGAAACACAAAACTGTATTTAACTCTGGAGATTTTGTTCACATTATACAGTGTCAGCTTTATAAAGGCTCTTGAATAAGAGCTTTTGCGGTCTTAGTACTGGAAATAGTTGGGCTTACACTGAGCAACTAATGGGCTTAAAATAGAAATATCAAGAAAATTGTGAATCATGTATCTGATAGGGTTTCCCTTCATCGACCTTCTGGGAAACACAGATTCGACATTTTGATCTTCCCCTGTCTAGTACTTGAGCTCTGCATTTTATGTGCCACCTTCAGCACTAGAATTAACGTATTTTTTCCTCCTGTTCTCTAACCATCAGTGTGATTCCTTTATTTAGACATGCAATTTGTAATATTGTATGTATATTTGTAATATATTTCCATTACTTCCATATTTTCCCAGTACAAATAAAAAGCCTACACTTATTAAGCATTTAGTATGTTTCAGAAACTGTGCTAAATGGCATTATACTATACAGTTGTCCCTTGGTATACACCAGAGATTGGTTCCAGGACCACCCTCTGATACAAAAACCTATACACACTCAAGTCCTGCAATTGGCCCTGAGGAAACCAGGTACATAAAAAAATTGGCCCATCCTATATGTGGGCCTCACATCCCCTGGATACTGTATTTTCTATCTGCATTTGATTGAAAAAAATCCATATATAAGTGAACCCTTGCAGTTCAAACTTATGTTGTTTGAGGGTGAGCTGCATTTTCTTTTTAGTAACTGTGAATTACGTTATACCATTAGCTTGATTTTACAGATGAGTAGCATGTGGCTCAAAGAGGTTTAAATATTAGGTTGCTGCAAAAGTAACTGCAGTTTTGCCATTAAATTTTTTTTGCATGGTTTTCATATCTGTTAATTAATTTATTTATTATACTTTAAGTTCTGGGATACATGTGCAGAACATGCAGGTTTGTTACATAGGTATACATGTTCCATAGCGGTTTGCTCCACCCATCAACCCATCATCTACATTAGGTATTTCTCCTAATACTATCCCTCTCCTTGTCCCCCACCCTCAAACATGCCCTGGTGTGTGATGTTCCCTCCCTGTGCCCATATGTTCTCATTGTTCAACTCCCACTTATGAGTGAGAACATGCGGTGTTTGGTTTTCTGTTCCTGTGTTAGTTCGCTGAGAATGATGGTTTCCAACTTCATCCATGTCCCTGCAAAGGGCATGAACTCATTATTTTTTATGGCTGCATAATATTCCATGGTGTATATGTGCCACATTTTCTTTATCCAGTCTAACATTGATGGGCATTTGGGTTGGTTCTAAGTCTTTGCTATTGTGAATAGTGCTGCAATAAACATACATGTGCATGTGTTTTTATAGTAGAATGATTTATAATCCTTAGGGTATATACCCAGTAATGAGATTGCTGGGTCAGGTGGTATTTCTAGTTCTAGATCCTTGAGGAATCACCACACTGTCTTCCACAACAGTTGAACTAATTTACACTCCCAACAGTGTAAAAGTGTTCTTATTTCTCCACATCCTCTCCAGCATCTGTTGTTTCCTGAATTTTTAATGATCGCCATTCTAACTGGCATGAGATGGTATCTCACTGTGGTTTTGATTTGCATTTCTCTGATGACCAGTGATGATGAGCTTTTTTTCATATGTTTGTTGGCTGCATAAATGTCTTCTTTTGAAAAGTGTCTGTTCATATCCTTCATCCACTTTTTGATGGGGTTTTTTCTTGTAAATTTGTGTAGGCTTCTTATAGATTCTGGATATTAGCCCTTTGTCAGATGGATAGATTGCAAACTTTTCTCCCACTCTGTAGGTTGCCTGTTCACTCTGATGATAGATTCTTTTGCTGTGCAGGAGCTCTATGGTTTAATTAGATTCCATTTGTCAATTTTGGCTTTTGTTGACATTGCTTTTGGTGTTTTAGTCCTGAAGTCTTTGCCCATGCCTGTGTCCTGAATGGTATTGCCTAGGTTTTCTTCCAGGGTTTTTATGGTTTTAGGTCTTACGTTTAAGTTTTTAATCCATCTCAAGTTAATTTTTGTATAAGGTGTAAGGAAGGGTCCAGTTTAAGTTTTCAGTATATGGCTAGCCAGTTTTCCCAGCACCATTTATTAAATAGAGAATCCTTTCCCCACTGCTTTTGTCAGGTTTGCCAAAGATCAGATGGTTGTAAATGTGTGGTGTTATTTCTGAGGACTCTGTTCTGTTCCATTGATCTATATATGTGTTTTGGTACCAGTACCATGCCACTTTGGTTACTGTAGCCTTGTAGTATAGTTTGAAGTCAGGTAGCATTATGCATCCGGCTTTGTTCTTTTTGCTTAGGATTGTCTTGGCTATATGGGGTCTCTTTTGATTTCATATGAAATTTAAAGTAGTTTTTTCTAATTCTGTGAAGAAAGTCAATGGTAGCTTGATGGGAACAACATTGAATCTATAAATCACTTTGGGCAGTATGGTCATTTTCACAATATTGATTCTTCCTATCCATGAGCATGGAATGTTCTTCCATTTGTTTGTGTTCTCTCTTATTTCCTTGAGCAGTGGTTTGTAGTTCTCCTTGGGGAGGTCCTTCACATCCCTTGTAAGCTGTATTCCTAGGTATTTGATTCTCTTTGTAGCAATTGTGAATGGGAGTTTGCTCATGATTTGGCTCTCTGTTTGTCTATTATTGGTGTATAGGAATGCTTGTGATTTTTGCACATTGATTTTTTATCCTGAGACTTTGCTGAAGTTGCTTATCAGCTAAAGGAGTTTTTGGGCAGAGACAACGAGGTCTTCTAAATATACAATCATGTCATCTGCAAACAGAAATACTTCGACTTCTTCTCTTCCTATTTGAATACGCTTTATTTCTCTCTCTTGCCTGATTGCCCTGGCCAGAACTTCCAATACTATGTTGAATAGGAATGGTGAGAGAGGGCATCCTTGTCTTGTGCCGGTTTTCAAAGGGAATTCTTCCAGCTTTTGCCCATTCAGGATGATATTGGCTGTGGGTTTCTCATAAATAGCTCTTATTATTTTGAGATATGTTGCATCAATACCAGTTTATTCAATGTTTTTAGCATGAAGGGGTGTTGAATTTTATTGAAGGCCTTTTCTCCATTTATTGAGCTAATCATGTGGTTTTTGTCATTGGTTCTGTTTTTGTGATGGATTACGTTTATTGATCTGCATATGTTGAACCAGCCTTGCATCCCAGGGATGAAGCTGACTTGGTAGTGGTGGATAAGCTTTTTAATGTGCTGCTGGATTCGTTTTGCCAGTATTTTACTGAGGATTTTCGCACCTCAGGAATATTAGCCTGAAATTTTCTTTTTTTGTTGTGTCTCTGCCAGGTTTTGGTATCAGGATGATGCTGGCCTCATAAAATGAGTTTGGGAGGAGTCCCTCTTTTTCTATTGCTTGGAATAGTTTCAGAAGGAATGGTTACCAGCTCCTCTTTGTACCTCTGGTAGAATTCAGCTGTGAATCCATCTGGTCATGGGCTTTTTTTGGTTGGTAGGCTACTAATTACTGCCTCAGTTTCAGAACTTGTTATTGGTCTATTCAGGGATGCAATTACTTCCTGGTTTAGTCTTGGGAGGGTGTATGTGTCCAGGAATTTATCCATTTCTTCTAGATTTTCTAGTTTATTTGCGTAGAGGTGTTTATAGTATTCTCTGATGGTAGTTTGTATTTCTGTGGGATCAGTGGTGATATTCCCTTTATCATTTTTTATTGTGTCTATTTGATTCTTCTCTCTTTTCTTCTTTATTAGTCTGGCTAGCAGACTATCTATTTTGTTAATCTTTTCAAAAAACCAGCCCCTGGATACACTGATTGTTTTGAAGGGTTTTTCATGTCTCTATCTCCTGCAGTTCTGCTCTGATCTTAGTTATTTCTTGTCTTCTGCTAACTTTTGAATTTGTTTGTTATTGCTTCTCTAGTTCTTTTAATTGTGATGTTAGGGTGTCAATTCTGGATATTTCCCATTTTCTCCTGTGGGCATTTAGTGCCATAAATTTCCCTCTAAACACTGCTTTAGCTGTGTGCGGAAGATTCTGGTATGTTGTGTCTTTGTTCTCATTGGTTTCAAAGAACTTATTTATTTCTACCTTAATTTTGTTATTTACTCAGTAGTCACTCAGGAGCAGGTTGTTCAATTTCCATGTAGTTTTGCAGTTTTTGAATGAGTTTCTTAATCCTGAGTTCTAATTTGATTGCACTGTGGTCTGAGGGACTGTTTGTTATGAATTCTGTTCTTTTGCATTTGCTGAGGAGGGTTTTGCTTCCAATTATGTGGTCAATTTTAGAATAAGTGCTATGTGGTGCTGAGAAGAATGTATATTCTGATGATTTGGGGTGGAGAGTTCTGTGGGTGTCTATTAGGTCCACTTGGTCCAGAGCTGAGTTCAAGTCCTGAACATCCCTGTTAATTTTCTGTCTCGTTGATCTGTCTAATATTGACAGTGGGGTGTTAAAGTCTTCCACTATTATTGTGTGGGAGTCTAAGTCTCTTTGTAGGTCTCTAAGAACTTACTTTATGAATCTGGGTGCTCCTGTATTGGGTGCATATATATATATACATACATACATATACATATATACACACACACACACACATTTAGGATAGTTAGCTCTTCTTATTGCATTGATCCCCTTACCATTATGTAATGCCCTACTTTGTCTTTTCGATCTTTGTTAGTTTAACATCTATTTTTTTTTTTTCAATTTGAGAGCAGGTCCTGTTTATTAACTGACCAGCTTAGAAAAATAATCATGGTAGGCAACTTAGATCATTCTTCTAATAAGCCTGTTGATCTGGTCCTCCCTGTTGCATCTCCACCTTCTACAAAATGGGTGCTCTGTTTCTTCATTCTGGCTCGTGGAGAAGATACTTTGAAGGATCACAGGAAGTTATTTGCTTCTGTGAAGCATTTTCCAACAGTACAGATCTCATGAATCAGATCCTCCATGCAGATGATGCCATATTTACCAAGAGATCGAGCAATCAAAGCATTATCTGTCCAAGCAATTTGCTTCTTATTGATTTTGCTATAACCATGCTTGTAGATTAGTTCATTTACTAACTTTAGATTTGGGAACCCCCATGCAATATATGGCTTTACAATCCTCAGCATGTTAACTGAAGCCTCTTGAGCTTCACAAAGGTTCCACTGAGGATTTGATGAAGGCAAAGAAGCTGCAACAGCTTTCAGACCTTTTGGCTCACACCATTGATACCTCTGATCCTGATGACAAATGCCAATTTGGGTTCTTCAGGAACACAGAAGTGGCCAGCTTTTCTTGTCATCCTCGCCATTCAAATTTCAGTTCTGTACATCTGCCTATATTCCTTGTGATAGTGCTTCATTTTTTCATAGAAGCTTCCTCCTTCCCTTTCAAAGCATCTTTTGGGCAAACTTCTTTCTCAGGCTCTTGATCTTCAGCTCTGCAAAATTCCTTCACTTTTTCTTGAGGGTTTCTGGCACAGCAGGAACCTTCTCTTCTTCTCTTATACACACTCCATGGTTCCAGCTGGAAAAAGAGGAAGTTGACACATCCACTTAAAGTCTGTTTTATCAGAGAGTAGGGTTGTGACCCCTGCTTTTTTTTTTTTTTTTTTTTTTTTTTTTTTTTTTGCTTTTCATTTGCTTGGTAAATCTTCCTCCATCCCTTTATTTTGAGCCTGTGTGTGTCTTTGCTTTTGAGATAAGTCTCCTAAATACAGCACACTGATGGGTCTTGAATCTTGATCCAATTTGCCAATCTGTGTCTTTTAATTGGGGCATTTAGCCTGTTACATTTAAGGCTAATATTGTTTTGTGTGAATTTGATCCTGCATTATGATGCTAGCTGGTTATTTTGCCCATTAGCTGATACAGTTTCCTTATAGTGTCAATGGGCTTTACATTTTGGTTTGTTTTTGCAGTGGCCGGTTCTGGTTTTTCCTTTCCATATTTAGTGCTTCCTTCAGGAGCTCATGTAAGGCAGACCTGGTGGTGACAAAATCCCTCAGCATTTGCTTGTCTGTAAAGGATTTTATTTCTTCTTCACTTATGAAGCTAAGTTTGGCTGGATATGAAATTCTGGATTGAAAATTCTTTTCTTTAAGAGTGTTGAATATTGGCCCCCACTCTCTTCTGGCTTGTAGGGCTTCTGCAGAGAGGTCCACTGTTAGTCTGATAGGCTTACCTTTGTGGGTAACCCGATCTTTCTCTCTGGCTGCCCTTAACATTTTTTCCTTCATTTCAACCTTGGTGAATCTGACAATTATGTGTCTTGGGGTTGCTCTTCTCGAGGAGTATCTTTGTGGTGTTCTTTGTATTTCCTGAATTTGAATATTGGCCTGCCTTGCTAGGTTGGGGAAGTTCTCCCAATATCCCGAAGTGTATTTTCCAACTTGGTTGCATTTTCCATGTCACCTTCAGGTACACCAATCAAATGTAGGTTTGGTCTTTTCACATAGTCCCATATTTCTTGGAGGCTTTGTTCATTCCTTTTCATTCTTTTTTCTCTAATCTTTTCTTCACTTTTTTTTCATTAAGTTGATCTTCAATCTCTGATATCCTTTCTTCTGCTTGATTGGTTTTGGGATTGATACTTGTGTATGCCTCACGAAGTTCTTGTGGTGTGTTTTTCAGCTCCGTCAGGTCATTTATGTTCTTCTCTAAACTGGTTTTTCTAGTTAGCAATTCCTCTAACCTTTTATCAAGGTTCTTAGCCTCCTTGCATTGGGTTAGAACATGCTCCTTTAGTTCAGAGGAGTTTGTTATTACCCACCTTCTGAAGCCTACTATTCGTTAAACTCATTTTCCGTTCAGTTTGTTCTCTTGCTGGTGAGGAGTTGTGATCCTTTGGAGGAGAAGAGGCATTCTGGTTTTTGGAATTTTCAGCCTTTTTGCACTGGTTTTTCCTCATCTTCATGGACTTATCTACCTTTGGTCTTTGCTGTTGGTGACTTCGGATGGAGTTTTTGCGTGGTCATCCTTTTTGTTGATGTTGATGCTATTGCTTTCTATTTGTTAGTTTTCTTCTAACAGTCAGGCTCCTCTTCTGCAGGTCTGCTGGAGTTTGCTGGGGGTCCACCCTGTTTGCCTGGGTATCACCAGCAGAGGCTGCAGAACAGCAAAGATTGCTGCCTGTTCCTTCCTCTGGAATCTTCATCCCAGAGGGGCACCTGCCAGATGCCAGCTGGAGCTCTCCTGTATGAGGCGTCTGTCGACCTGTGATGGGAGGTGTCTCCCAGTCAGGAGGCACGGGGGTCAAGGACCCACTTAAGGAAGCAGACTGTCCCTTGGCAGAGCTTGAGCGCATTGCTGGGAGATCCTCTCATCTCTTCAGAGCTGGCAGGCAGGAACATTTTAAGTCTGCTTAAGCTGCTCCCACAGTCGCCCCTTCCCCCAGGTGCTCTGACCTGGAGAGGTGTCAGTTTTATCTATAAGCCCCTGACTAGGGCTGGTGCCTTTCTTTCAAAGATGCCCTGCCCAGAGAGGAGGAATCTAGAGCGGCAGTCTGGCTACAGTAGCTTTGCTGAGCTGCGGTGGGCTCTGCCCATTCCGAACTTCCTGGCAGCTTTGTTTACACTGTGAGGGGTACTCAAGCCTCAGCAATGGCGGGTGTCCCTCCCCATCACTAAGCTTGAGGGTCCCAGATCGACTTCAGACTGCTGTGCTGGCAGCAAGAATTTCAAGCCAGTGGATCTTAGCTTACTGGTCTCCGTGGGATCCACTGAGCAAGACAACTTGGCTTCTTGGCTTCAGCCCCCTTTCCAGGGGAGTAAACAGTTCTGTCTCTCTGGTGTTCCAGGAGACACTGGGGTATGAAAAAAACAAACAAACAACAACAACAAAAAAAAAACTCCTGCAGTTAGCACAGTGTCTGCCCAAATGGCCGCCTAGTTTTGTGCTTGAAACCCAGGGCCCTGGCGGTGTAGGCACCTGAGGGAACCTCCTGATCTGTGGGTTGTGAAGACCACGGGAAAAGCATAGTATCTGGGCCAGAATGCACTGTTCCTCACGGCATGGTCCCTCATGGCTTCCCTTGACTAGGGGAGGGAGTTCCCCAACCCCTTGTGCTTCCTGGGTGAGGCGACGCCCCACCCTGCTTCAGCTCGCCCTCTGTGGGCTTCACCCACCGTCTAACAAGTCCCAGTGAGATGAACCGGGTACCTCATTTGAAAATGTAGAAATCACCTGCCTTCTGCGTTGGTCTCGCTGGGAGCTGCAGACCACAGCTGTTCCTATTCGGCCATCTTGCCCAGATATCCGTTTTAAATTTTTTAAAAGGCAAAACCGCAATTACTTTTGCACCAACCTAATAAGATGCTCACGATCACATAGCAGAGCCAGTTTCCTGGCTGACTCTAGAACCTTGGCTCTTAATCACTATGCGTGTCTCTCTTCAGCTCCACATCATGGTCAGTTAACGGGGACAGATAAACACAACAGGATGGGAATAGAAGGAGACATGGGGGAAAGGAAAAATAAAAGATGGGAAAAAGATGTCCTAAAAGGAAGAAAGGGAGCATGTAAAAATAGATGAGAGAAAAGTAAGGTAGAGCAAAGAAAGGTAACAGAGAAAATGAAGGATATAGGACAGAGATGGAATGTGTTCACAGTTCTGCCTCAGAAGTGTGTAATCTTCTGAACTCTCAGAATGAGTTTTTTTCTTGAAGGTTCAGCCCTGAGTATTAGCAACACACAACTGCCAGCTCTTCACTATAAACTTCTATCTCTCTTCTTGTATCATCCACTGCTTTGCATGAATCTATGCTATGCTGTCTCGCTATTCATCCTGCTTTGTGAGTGAGTAGCTCTTACCATCTCATGGAAAATGCAGCCACACTCTTTATAGTATCTAACTCAGCAGAGGCAGCATTCGGGATGTTTCATGTTAATTCCCAAGAAAGAGTCTGGTATTTGTTTCACTTCAAATACATTCTTCTCTGTTACCATCTACAGAGGTAAACAAAAGATTAAAACAAACAAACAAAACCAAAACCAAACTCCTTTATTTTTCTGGCCACAGACCAGGAAAACATCACCTTTTAGTATTCTTCCACAGGTAGGAGAAAGGGTGAATGTTAGAAACTCACTCTCAAGAAGTACAACTATTTACATGGGCTTCTATACATCACAGTAAGCTATCCCTGACATTTGTATTTATAATTAAGTATCCAAAAATATTAAAAGTAGCCCTTGCAGTATTAGAAGACAACTTCCCTGCTTTTACTTCCAAATTTAATATTTATTTTTAAAAAGTAACATTTCTTTTCTCATGGAATTTTAGGATCTTCTACAGAGTAAGAGATGACACAGGTTTTAAAAGTTCACATTGGGACCATTGAGGTGTCTATCAATTTACCAGCTGGAAATAGCTCTGAGATCCTAATGTCTGTCATACTGATGGTCTTTCATGGAATTATGCTATATAACTGTGGGTTTCTTTAAGTCCTATTTAATTCCAGCATCTCCAATATGAGAATTCATATATCTGACTAAGTTCCTTATGGAGGAAATATATAATTGAGAGTGAACATTCCTCATGTTTCCACATGGGGGTGCTACCTCACGGTCACGCTCTTCTCAGTCTTCCTCTTGACAGAGATTTCTAAACACAGACAAGATGGGTCATTTCTTAAATTTCACTGACTCTTCTTAAACTGAGAGGAAATATAGAATGGTGAATAAACACTGCATATAGTCTCAGGTTTAGCTCCAATTCTACCACCCAGTAATTGGGGCACTTTGGGTGAACTATGGCCCAAACAATCATGCAGGATTGTTTTGAAGGTAATGGATGTGCACATGCCTTGTAAATGGTAAAACATTAACAAATTAAAGATAATTAGATCCAGATCCTAGTCCATGTCTAGATATAAAAGACTCTGCTGTTAGATTATCAGAAGACATGATGCTATAGACGTCTTTAAAGTGTAGGCTACTGAAGTGCAGGGTCAAGAACTCAACACCAATATTAGTAAAACATGCCGCATTGCCAATAGATTGGAGACTGAGAGTTAAGTTGATAAGCAGAAATGCCAAGAAAATTTCTAGGTGCTCAGACTGCTCTATGACTACAGAATAAAGTAGTTCCAAGTTGATGACATCAAGTCAAGGCTATTCCTGAAAAGGTCAAAATGGGCCTATAGATTATGTTCTGGTTTATCCAATCGTCCATCACTAGGTCTCCAACAGGAACCTTCAAACCACTGCTATATGTTTCCAATTTGCAACAAATTATAAAACACTTGTTTTGTCTTTTGGAACTATACACAAATAAAAATATGTTTGCAAAAGATTTTTTTATAAGATCCTTGTGCAGTTTTTAAACTCCCAAATGTAAATGCTAGAAATAATTTTTGAATGTACTTTAAGGACACACTGCAAATTTTCTTCTTACAGCTGATAGACACCTAACATTTTAGCCATTGAGCACAGTGTTCCATCTTGTCTCCAGGGTCCATTTTTAGGAGTCAAAGGTGCTTAAATAAGAATCCTTTGTGTAATGAAATTTGCTAAGCTTTAATGAGTTTTATTTTAAAAGCTCTTTTCAAATTAAATTCAGCTTAACATGTTTAAGAATGTAAATGTTCACAATTTTATGGGAACACAATATATACATATTTCTGAGGCAAATATACTATTTTAGGCTCTTAAGTTTTTAAGGATCACTAATTCTAGGCATACACATCTTCTGGTGGCAAATATTTAGATATTTAGTTCTTGCAATAACAATAAAAAAGATGAGATGAAATCTGTTAACGCTAATAATATTCAGGCTAGAGAGGAGGGAAAAAGATAAATTCAAAAGAAGAAACGCTTCTACGGAATCCTTTACTGATCAAGTAGCAACCTAGGACAAGCTTCTTTAATGAACCTGCTGATGCTTGATTAGGGTATTAAAAGATTTTTGAAAAATGGGGCAATCCCAAGGGCCCTACAGTTTCTGTGGTATCCTTAATTAATTCCACTTTGAGTTCATTATTCAACAGCTGCTTTAGGAAAATAAAAGGTCTGCATCTCTTTACACAAATGTTTGAGAGTTACTTTATAATGCATTCCCTCCTTGCATAAGCCATTGTTCTAAACTAGATTAAGAGAAAATACAATGAGAAGCTACTTCCATTGCCAAGGGGGTTAGAAAAGTTATCCAGTTTTACCTGTACTTTCTTCAATGTAAGAAAAGAAAGTTCCCAGGTAATCACCGCACCTTCCCCAAGAAGACCCAAGCTTTCAAAGCTTCATTTCTACCTAAGGTTATTTTTGCTGGGAAAATATGTCTGTGATTTCTTTGATCGACGATGTGAACATTTATATCTCCCTCTATAAATTGTTTTGAAAACATGTATTTGGCTTCTTTGACTCATGGTTTCCAGCTTATCCTTTGACTTCTCTCAGTCATTTTCACACAGGTTCCTTTCTCTTGCTTTGGGCTAGCTGAACACACACACACACACACACACACACACACACACACACTTCCCTACTCCCCTTCAGAATGACTTCATGACAAGTGGTCTGGTTGTGAGCACTACCTTAAATTCCAGCTGCCCTGTTGGCTCCTGTACTTACAAAGTCTGAATTTATTGTGGGCCCTTGTAGTGCAATTTTTGACACATCATTAAGCTCCCTTTTCATTGGGAGCCTAAGGGCATATTCAGGCTCACTGCGAAGAGTGCGCCTAAATAACGGTTAAAACACGTGTCATGAGCTGCAAGGGGCTTGTTTGCCAGCAGGGCAAACAGTTCACTGTAGCTCAAGCAATACCCTACAACAGGGTGGGTAGAGATAATGAGATAACCACACACCACAAGTGAGCTGTTCATCTTTGTCTTCAAGCATCTAAGAACACAGTTATCTCAGTAGGATGGTGCACCCTGGAGAGTTATAAATATCTTTCAGAAAGGTAAAGAAAAACAGTCAAAGAAAACGCATCTGAAAAAAATAAGCAAAAGAACACTGGTGGACAATTTTTTAAAGCAAAATTTCAGCTATACCAGAACTTATTGAATCAGGTCAATAAGTTTTGTGTGCTTTTTTTTTGGCATTATGTTTTATTTTAATTGTATGCAGATTTATTCTAATGTTATGATGCTAATCAACCTGTGTAGCTATAATAAAATAAAGGCAATGTCAACACCTCATCAACTAATCACACTGCTTCTTTCATTCTGGACACTGTATCCTCCCTACACAACACCGAAGTACTATAAAAATTATTTATACAAATAAACTATTATCTAAAGACTGAAAAGGCATAATAAATTATGCGTAATATGGCCCAATTATGTGGTAATTTCTTTGTTTGAATTATTTGCATAGTTTTAATGAAGGGGTTGCTAGAAGGTGGAACCATTTTTATATTTAATGGAAAAAACAAATTTGTTTTTAAGAATGAAAACAAAGATAATTAGCTCTTAAATTAGAGGCATACTAATATATGCATGTTCCTAAATTATTACCAGTATTATTACTTTGTGCTATCAAAACTTTTCTCTCTGGAGCGCAGATATTGGCTACTCAAGTTATTTTTCCCGTTTCTGTTAAATGTATTAATATCTTGCTGTTCATCAAGTGCCAAAATAAAGGTTAAAAAAGTTCCCTAGATTATCTGCAGAAGAAAAATTGGGGTGGGTGATGACAACTATGATCTTTCAAGATGTAGTTTACGAATGCATAATAACTTAAGAAAGTGAGAAAAAAAATAGATTTATCAAGAAAAGAGAGAACTAGCCTAAATTCAACACAGCAAATCAGCAAATTTCTTCAGGGAAAGACATCAAATTTGAAAGGCATCAATACTTTTCTGCTGTCACCAAACTGTTATTTATGCTCATGTACCAGCTGGATTTGTGTATGTGCGTGCATAATCTTTTTCTCACCACTGATGTCATCATTAAAGCTGTGCAAGAATTTTGATTTCGCTTTGCACAATCTTCAGGGGAGACTTGGACATTATGGTGAAAGTTTGTGACAAGTTTGTAAAAGTAAGAAATGCAGGCTTTAAGGCAGTGAAATGTCACCACTGCAAAACAGAGGAAGCTTTCCCAAGTGTGTATTATTTTGTCTGCCCAGTCTGCATTGAAGGAACCACACAGGGCAATTGCAAAGAAATAGGTAGTTAACCACTTTTGGTGGGGAAAAAAAGATATTCAACATTACCCATATATCACTCTACATAACTAGCTGTCCCTTTTGAATATTCAAACATATTCTAGAATATCAAGACACATATATTTTTTACAATGTGCAGAAAGATACAAGCCACTGTGCATCTGATTCCCAAGGCACAAGCTACAACTGCGTTTTATCACTGTAAACCTTATCTATGAGGTTTATAAAGGCTTTGAGATACTAAGACTTTTAGGATTTTTTGGTTATGAAATTTCAAAGCTGCAATGAATTAATTTTCAGACGAGGAGGAAATAACCAGGAACAGTAGGCAGTGGCAGGCCATTATGAGAAAGAGACATCATAGCGCAATTCAAAGGCCGCCGATTCCAGTCAGAGATCTCAGGGTGCATGAGTGGCAATCTGGACAGAGTGTGGAGGGTCTAACCCACAATAACCTATCTCAGAACAAAACTTCATTAGGAGACCTGGTAACTGGATTTAATGATAATGTGTCATTATAACATTCTCTCTTTTTTTTTTTTTTTTTTTTTTGAGATGGAGTTTTACTCTTGTTGCCCAGGCTGGAGTGCAATGGTGCAATCCCTGCTCAATGCAACTGCAACCTCCGCCTCCCAGGTTCAGCAATTCTCCTGCCTCAGCCTCCCGAGTAGCTAGGATTACAAGTGTGTGCCACCACGCCCAGCTAGTTTTGTATTTTTAGTAGAGATGGGGTTTCACCATGTTGATCAGTCTTGAACTCCTAACCTCAAGTGATCCACCCGCCTCAGCCTCCCAAAATGCTGGGATTACACGCATGAGCCACCATGCCTGGCCCTATAACGCATTCTCATTCTTAGTTTAGTTAGCAGTTGATGAATGCTTAGATTTAAGGGTTTGAGCATTGGGGAAGGGATTTTGAAAGGGAAGGTGATTTTAATTATTAACTGATTCTCTACTATGATGTTGATTACCTGATTTTTATGAAGCATCTTCTAAGAGTAGCTCAGTTATAAACCCTTTTCTTGCATTTTCTTACTTAGTTCTCACAAAAGCCTGCAAAGTAGATACGAGTTTCAACATTCCGAAAAAGGAGGTAACTGAAGGTCAAGGTTGGATAACTTATCCAAAGTGAGAAATATAACAGAAAGGAATGAGTTACAATAGCCAGGGTGTGATATGGCTCTGAGACAGACAGTGGCAAGTGACTTAACGTCTCTGGGCTTTGTTGTCCTCATCTAGAGGACTGTTGTTTGTCAAGAGTAGAGATGCTATGTACAGCAACTCAATAGTGGCTGATTCATAATACGTACTCACTAAAAGGGTTGCTTCTGGCAGTGCTATATCCCCATGACTTCTCATATCCACATCTTCCTTAGCAGAGTCATTTATATCCGGGCCTGTCTTACTTCAAAGCTCTTGCCCTCTCAAGAGAATTCTTCAGGCCAGGAGCGGTGGCTCACGCCTGTAATCCCGGCACTTTGGGAGACCAAGGCATGCAGATCACGAGGTCAGGAGATCGAGACCACCCTGACTAACATGGTGAAACCCCGTCTCTACTAAAAATACAAAAAATTAGCCGGGTGTGGTGGTGGGCGCCTGTAGTCCCAGCTACTCGGGAGGCTGAGGCAGGAGAATGGTGTGAACCCGGGAGGCAGAGATTGCAGTGAGCTGAGATGGTGCCACTGCACTCCAGCCTGGGCGACAGAGCGAGACTCCATCTCAAAACAAACAAACAAACAAACAAAAAATTAGCCAGGCATGGTGGCACGCACCTATAGTCCCAGCTACTTGGGAGGCGGAGGCAGAAAAATTGCTTGAACCCAGGAGGCGGAGGTTGCAGTGAGCCAAGATCACACCACTGCACTCCAGCCTGGGCAACAGAGCAAGACTCCGTCTCAAAAAAAAAAAAAAAAAAAAAAAAAAACCAAAGAGAGAGAGTTCTTTAAACTGGATTGTGGGAAGAAGTGAGTGAAAGGATAAACCCATCTGTAGGTCTGCACTGTGTCACTGAGAAGTGCCAATGGTATACAAAATGCTAACCAGTCCTCCAGGGCTTACTATACAGCTGGGGGAGAAAACGCACACATAGGGCCAATTTAATACATAAAACATGATACGGTATTGTTAAGCGACAGAATGAATAGTAAAGACAGACAGCACTTGAGGAGTTGAGGAGTTTTCATTGCTGTATTTCTTCACCTTCTTCAGTCTCCTGTGCTTTTCTAGTTACCATGGTGGCTGAAATCAACTTAGATTCTTTATAAAGATACTTGGGGTTGAGATTTAATGCTGGAAGATTTATACTAAGAAATTCCCTTTCCCTAGTGATTGCATGATTTCACAGTCTGAGCCTTTGTCTTGGGAATAGATTTAAAAGGCCCACCTGATTGCCCATAGTTTTGTCCTAAGCAGAACCTTAGTTTCTTGTATAAACCACAGCTGATAAAATTTGCAATTTCCTATTTACAACATCTTCGCTTTTCTTAGACAAAAGGGCAAGATAAGCAAGGTAATTATTAGATCCTGCTCTGCAGTTTAAAAATCATGGACTTAAAAATTATGGGGCCATATGTGTCCCAGGAAAGCAGAGAGGTTTTAATTGGGAATATGTTCTGTTATATAGAGGACCATTAGTAATGCCAATCTTAGAGTGTTGTTTGTTTGTTTTTTTCCCTTCCCTAAAAGCAAATCTTGTTGAAATATCTGACTTTTAATCTCTTTCCAGGAAGATTCTATGGGTTTGACAGAAGCAAAAATGAGTCACTCTCTCAGGTAGGGCAAGTAGTAGAGCACAGTGGTTAAGAACACAGGGAGGCCCTGTGCAGTGACTCACACCTGTAATCCCAGCACTTTGGGAGGCCAAGGTGGGAGGATCACTTGAGAACACGAGTTCCAGACCAGCCTGGGAAACATAGCAAGACCTCATCTCTACTAAAAATAAAAAAACATTAGCCAGGGCATGGTGGTGCACACCTGTAGTCCCAGCTGCTCGGGAGGCTGAGGTAGGAGGATCACTTGAGCCCAGGAGATTGAAACTGCAGTGAGCCATGATCATACCACTGCACTCCAGCCTGGGCAATAGTGTGACACCCTGTCTCAAACAAACAAAACAAAACAAAAATGACACAGGGAACTAGCATGTTTGGTTAAGAATCTGAGATTCACTACTTCAGAGTTATGGATCCCTAGACAAATTACTTCACTCCTCTGCCCCTTGGTCTCTTGATCTGTAAAGTGAAGATAATAGAGTAACTACCATATGAGATTGTTATTAGAGTTAAATGAGTTACTATTTCTAGAGTCCTTAGAACAAAGCCTGGTACATGGTATAAGCCCAACTTAGGTTAAAAGAGTTGAGCTTGCTTGCACAAATCTGGAGCTAGTTTTCTTCAAGTATCTTTCATGTCAGAGGGATGAAAATGCAAATATCTAAAATCTGAAGCACTTGGGTTTCAGGGTGGAGATGAGAGACGGGGGCGCTGGTTAATTGACAGTCATCTCTTAAAGTAGAATAAGCCCTACTAAGGCTCCCAGGTCAGATTATTCTTCATGCTCACATAAGGCTAAAGTATTAATTTATATATTTAACTACACTTGCCAGGAGTCAGAAAAGCAGACATTCTGAGGAACTGCTCTTGGACAGAACTTGTGGCAATGATATTTAGACATTACTTCACATACCACTATTTGATTTAAAGCAGTGATCTGTTGACTGGGTCATTGGTAATGCACATCCCTTCCATTTTTTGGAAATACACCTGTTTCTTGGATTTGATTTGGCTCTTAATTCAAACAGAACTCCAAGTGCTCTGAAACTAAATCAACCTAAAATTATACATTTATCTAGAGTTACATTTAGGCCATATGGTTTAAGTTGTCCAAATGTCACAGAAGCAACAGCAACAGCCATCATCGTACTTTACACTTACCCAGCATCTTTCCTGCCAGAATATTATGTAAGTTATAAAAGTTTCATTAAGGCAGAGGTGTTAACCCTAATTCCAAAAGGACAGTCATTTAGCTGCTGTTTCAGTTTAGCTCTGCTTCATAGTGAATTGATACATAAGAGTTACTTGAAGTCAATTTAAATTTTCATAATAATATTCTTGTAACTGAAAATGTCTCAACTGCAAATTCCTATGATATGGAGGACATGTGGGAGACATGTAGAACCAATACCTTCCTCTTGGATCTCCGAGAAGATGCAACTAAGTTATTAGGCTCACTGCACTAGAGTCAGAGAACAATACTGGAATGCTATTTCCAGAAACTCCCATACAATGCACTGGAAAAGACTGGGCAGAAAGGGCATCTCAGTACATACCTTAAGTCTTTACCCATTTGAACTTGAAATTCTCTATCATATTAGTAGATCTGCTTCTTAGCATCCAGCACCGTCTAGCCAGATACATAGGAAGTGCTCCATAGATAAATGTTGAGTGGACAAATAAATGTATTAAATGCATGGTTGTCCTGTTGCAAGCATAACATTCAGAGAGCTTTAGAGTATATATTTTGAGTAGATGTGAGGGATTTTGGCATAGAAAAGGCAACAAGATGATGCTGGGCAAGGAGGATGATGATCGGGTAGCCAGGGGCAGATGTGGACTGATTAGACTGAAGGGATCCTCAGAGGTCTTGGTGTTAAAATTCTCTAAGCAGTATAGTGCGATTAAAGACCACATTCCATTATAATTCTTCCCACTATTAGTCCCAGAATATTTAATGTCTCTGAAATTGTCTAAGCCAGAATATTGTGAATATCTACGCTTTTTTGCTCATTAATCAACCAACCAACCAATGAATGAACTGATCAACCAGGCCATGTGCTGGAACACAGAGATAAATACTCCCCTCAGATACCATCCCTATGGTCAGTAAGCTCACAGAGAAGTACAAAAGGTCGAAATTCACCTTCAGAAACATGTTTCAGTTTTTTTCCAATACTGGTACTTTTCTATCACCGCCAAGTTGAAGCTATCTCCACTGAATATCCACAAAATTTTATAATCAACTGTAGCCATGTGCTTATGTATACATCACATTACTCCCAGATTCTGCTTTACCTACTCACCCAGAGTAGGAGGTCATTAAGCCAATATGTAGTATTTTCCCTGCTCTCAAGTTTTCACACTGGAATACTAAAAAACTCCAGGGTTGACACAGCAGTTTGCTGAGGGTATGCAGAGAAAAGGCTCAATAAAATAGAATTTTTTTCTCGGTAGTAATTTTAAAAAGATATAAAATAAACATGAAAATGGCTCAGAATAGAATGTCTAAGTCACATATATTTAAAAATAATATAAAAGACTTCAAAAATAATTCTTGCCCACAGTGGTCCCTCTCAGGCTGGGCCCACCCAAACCTCCCTGGGATGCACATTCTCTCTTCTATTGATGATGAAGTATCTGGGAAGCACTGCAAAGCAAACCCAAACGATGGATTTGAAGCCTGGCTCTGGCACTTCCTAACTGTGTGATCTCAGGCAAATTTTCTTTTAGATCTTTGATTTTTCTCTTCCATGAAATGCTAAAATAACAGCACCTTCTTTAAAAGATGACTATAAAGATCACATGATGACATTTGCACACTGCCTAGCATATAATATATGCTCAATAAATATTCATTTGCCTTAATTGAAAGAAACTAATTCACAAATCAAATTCTAGTACTTTCGATACCCTCAGTTCAGTATTTAATTATGTCCTCTGGTGATAATTAGTGATCTAGAGCAATGACCTCAGGCAAAGCACTGGAAATACAGTTGCATGTGACACCACAGAGGATACAGAGCCCCGTCCTTTGAATTAACCTGGAATCACCGTCAATGAATCCCATATGCTAAAACTGGGCTGGGTTCAAAGTGACACTCATCTTAGACTCAGTGTAGCTGGAAAAAAAAAATCCTCCTTTCCCCCAACTCTCAAGGGAATTCTTGGAGCCATCTAAGTAAGTCAATGGAAGAAACGGTAAAGAGAAGACCTTCTTTAGGAATGCAACACTGTATTCATAGAAGAAACAGGACAAAACTGAGAAGACTGAGATATGCAGAGAGAGGAACAGAGAGACGACAAACAGCTTCTCCTTCTCTCTTTTCTCATTCCTTAGTTGCAATAGTAGGGGCCTGGGAAGATGGGTATGAGAAAGGCTTTGTTTAGATCTTCCAAGAGAAGAGTTCAGAATGTGAGAAGAGATTTTAACCGCTGTTGGGATGGCTTGATTGGGACTTTTACTCTCCTCTGCTGCTCTAGATGTTTCAAGGTTCTCACCCTTTTCATATAACACCATTTTTTTTTCTTTATGTCTAGTTTTGGGTTGGGAGAGGAAAAGATCTCACACTTAGTAATCAAAGAGCTGGATTTATCAGGGCTTACCACCTATGTGTTATTGGGCAAGTGATTCAATCTCACTGGCCTTAGTTTTCACTCCTAAAATGGAGTTCTACCATGAGACACAAGTACTCTTGTAAGAATGAAATCATATAATATTTGCAATATAGTCTAGACAACAATATCTCCTAATTTCTATAAAGGTGGTGTTGCTATCTGGAATATAAGAGATTTGTTTTGAAGCTGCATCTGGATACTAAGCAAGCTGTTTTTGCTGAGCAGCTAGGTTTATTTGAGGTGGATTTTGGGGTGGGGGGAAGGTGAGGAAGGGAAATTGTTGATGGAACATACCACCCTTAGTGGCCACTTGGCCATTTCATATAGAGCAGCTAAATACTTGGCACAGAGTAAGTACTCAATGTGGGCAGCATCTTTGACACTGGGGTGCCAAAGGAGATAGAAAAGCATAGAGCTGGCTGCTTGGCATGTGACCGAGGCTTAAAGGTGACGAGTAGGTGTGCCCTTCCCTTGTACTTCTAGGGTTGCCAGCCCAGTCCACCCAGGGAACGGAAACAGGAATAGAAAGGCATATCCCCAGGACAGAAAGGTGCCACTGAAAATAAAACAATGGTGTTGCCAAGAAAGTACTTATGTTGACAATCTCGGATACAAGGATAGCAAAGGTAACTTCAGTCACAAATTTATGGTCAATCATGAAGATTGGCATTTCGATTGGAAAAGTTCTTAGGATATAATTTTTTCCATTAAAGCCAGCTGAAAAACAAAGCTGATTTTTCTATGCTGTTGCTACTTACCATTTCATAGTGGCACAACTCCCACCCCAAACACTGTGGAATTATATTCAGAATAGATTTGTTTATCAGTTCTTCTACCCTATCCATTTTTCAGCAGCTGATTAGTCTCCCTGGGATGTAGACACATCTCTGATCAACAGCAGCTTGACTCCCATCTTCACATATGCATCCCAATATCCACATTACTCATAATAAATGTGCTTATATATACATATATAGATACATTTTTATGCATATATGTTCCCCACATTGTATTCAAAAACACATTCTGAATGGATGTATATATGCACTCATATACATTCAGGAATCCAACTAGATTCCCAGAGGGGAATGTGGAACACATTGTTAAAATGTCTGTCATCCATGTAAGAGAAACAGAAATGAGCTGGGCATTAAATTTGCATACAGCCCCGAGCACAGAGGTTCCTGTATGTGCACCGTTCTACTGTTCTTGATGATGGGCATATCTGATAGAAAGATTCTGTCAGGATTAGCTCAGGAAAAACACCCCCAAGGAGATAATTTGAAGACATCCTGAGAATTTGCCTCAGTACATGAAAATAAACATGAAACCCTTAGCACTCTCTGCACATTGAAAAGTTCCCACCAACACCCCACCACACACCAGGGGATAATCTACTGGAGCTAATTAACACACAGTCATACGCAACGCTGTTAGAAGTGGTTGCCACTTAGGATTGATTTAGTTGCTGCAGTGCTTAAAAGAGACTTGAGAAGGTTTTTGTGTAAATGTGAGAGGAAAGAAGAGGAAATAAAAGTGTAAAAACAGCTGCAAAATTAAAAGGTGCTAAGGTCTTTTTTTCCCCCTGTAGACATTAGGGAAACTTATTGAGAGACTATTAGTATTCCAGCAAAGAAAGCTTCTTACTTGATTTTATGTTTCCTTCCACATCAAAATTACACACACACATACTGGGTCTATAGATTGTGACTATGAAAAAGGGCATGTTTCACTTCATAAGCAAACAAGCTCTTCTTTAAATGCTAACATATGGATTGTGTCATCTAAAAAACAACAACAATCTTTTCTTGTCTATGTCTCATTTTATTTCATCTTTCTGATTTATTTAGATTTTCAGCAAAGTTATTAATTAGTAATATGTTTGGGGAAAAAATCATCAAGGAACAAAGGGCCACAAGCAATTCCTTCCTCTTATCTTTGCAATATGATAAAGATAGAGCAAATCCAACTATTTTAGAATGTTCTTCCTCAAAGTGAATGTGATGCATGCTATCTTATGAATAAACAATATATCTACTAATCATGACAGTAGGATATCACAACTGAGTATATAAAGTGGTTTTAGCAACCTGCTTTTTATTACTGAAACATGATAGAAATAATATAGAAAAGACCATTAGTGAAAACTTTATTAATCAGGCTTTGTGAAAATTTAGAGAAGCTGCAATTGATTTTTTGCCCTGATAAAAGGGTTTGCTAAAGAAAATTATAATAACATAAAAAGGATTTCAGGGGACAGAGTATTTGCTTTGGATGTGAAAACTCTCTTATTTTAATGATACCATTAATATTAAAAACAATGAGAAAACATTCTTGATTCCAAGTGATTCCACTTGGCTATATTATGCTTTCCATTGGATGAAAGATAAAGCTTATATATAAAAAATTCTATGAAATATATTTTTTATCAGTCTAGACTGGCCTACAAGATAAAATTTAACAAAAATTCATCGACATTGACAATTTGCTATACATACAAAGCCCTCTACCACATCCTGAGTAGAATTAACAAATGCAACCTGTTCTCCATCCTTTAAAGGCTCAAACTCAGAAGGGAAGACAGACACGTTCACAAAGAATTAGGGAATGGCAAACAAGTACAGCTTGAGAATCAACTCTGAACAACTGGTAATGGGTACATAGAGTGGTTTTTTGAGGATTACAATCGTGTGTATGTGTATAAACACATATGTTGTGATCAGTTTACAATGTCTGCCACAAGAAAGGGCATCAGAGGTGATGGGATGTAGGCGATTTGTCTGCTAACTCTGGCCTAGAAGATGGAATACATGGGTGGGATAAGAAAGGAGTGTACGTAAGACACAAGGTTAGGAAGTTAGGTTGGGGTTAGATAATAGGCTTTCCCTCAAGGTTGGTTCTAATTAGTGAGGTTTTATTTTAAACATCTTTCAAAAAAACAATGAATTGTTAACAATGTTTTGGAGGCCATTAGTTGTGTCTCTTTATAAGAATTTTAGAGTGGTTTATGTAGAAAAGAAGAGCACTAACAAAATAGTCAATACTAAAGCTAAAGACACAAAAGTTCAGAAGTGTCACATAAATGCAAGTAAGAGATTGCTTTGAACTGGACACAATAGTAGAGAAGAGTTCATGGGGTCTGGGAATTTGCAATTTGGGACCAGTGCATCTGAATAAGGAGAATTGACTGATTTATTAGGTAGAGAGAAAGGTTGTGTTTTTGCAAAAATAATGTAGTTTTTTGTTTTGTTTTTGCTATGTCTCTAAATGTTCCAGTAGATTAGCTGGAAGCAGCTGCTCAGGCTGTAGAATAGACACCAAGTACCAAAAAGGACTGTGAAAGGACACCCTTGGCCGGGTGCGGTGGCTCATGCCTGTAATCTCAACACTTTGGGAGGCAGAGGCGGATGGATCACCTGCGGTCAGGAGTTCTTGACCAGCCTGACTAACATGGTGAAACCCTGTCTCTACTAAAAATACAAAACTTAGCAGGGTGTAGTGGCGGATGCCTGTAATCCCAGCTACTTGGGAGGCTGAGGCAGGAGAATCACTTGAAGGCAGAGGCAAAGGTTGCAGTGAGCCGAGATCGCGCCATTGCACTCCAGCCTGGGCGACAGAGTGAGACTCTGTCTCAAAAAAAAAAAAAAAAAAAAGAAAAGAAAAAGAAAAAAAGAAAGGCAGCCACCCTCCTCTTATATTTTATTTCAGTGATGGGAACTGACAAGGCTTTCCATTTTCATTCTTTAAAAGAAGGAGTTGGAGAGTTAAGGAAATTTACATTTTTTTCAACAAACGTGGACATTTCATTTGTATTCATTTTATTAATTTACTTCTACAGCTACACTCATCCACTCTAAGAGTAATAAAACCTGTGAGTGCTCCTTTAAGAGCCTGCTTTTCTTTCTGGGCTTGTGGAGGTAGAGAGTCATGCAGGAGGCAATGAAAGAGTAAGAAGGAATGAAGGGCATCAGGATGTCAGCCTCAACGGAACCCAGCAGCTCCCCAACTGCTGGCTGTAGGAACACTTTTCTGAACCTCTTGCACTCACAAGTTTTACTTTATATTGATGATTTTCTAAAAATAGATCTTCACTATTTCTTTCCCTTCCTCCCACACCAATTTCTGGTTTCTTTTTTCCATCTTTTGAGACTGTCTCCTTCTCTTTTTTTCTTTTCCTTCCCTCTCTTTATTCTGTTTTTCCTTTTCCAATTTGCTATACATTCTTTCCTGGAAGAAACCCAGTAGGCCCTCTAGTTTGACTTCACATTAGAATAACCTGAGGGCACAAAAACAAAAATTGACAAATAGAACTTGATTAAACTAAAGAGCTTCTGCACAACAAAACAAACTATCAACAGAATAAACAGACAACGTACAGAATGGTAGAAAATATTTGCAAACTATATATCTGACAAAAGATCGAATATCCAGAATCTATAAGGAACTTAAATATATAAGCAAAAAGCAACCTGTATTAGTCCATATTCATACTGCTATGAAGATATACCCAAGACTGGGTAGTTTATAAAGAAAAAGAGGTTTAATGGACTGAAAGTTCCACACTGCTAGGGAGGCCTCACAATCATGGTAGAAGGTGAAGGAAGAGCAACGTCACATCTTACGTGGCAGCAGGCAAAAGAGCGTGTGCAGAGAAACTGCCCTTTATAAAACCATCAGATCTTGTGACACTTATTCACTATCACGAGGACACCATGGGAAAACCGGGCCCCATGATTCAATTACTTCCCACTGTCTCCAAGACACGTGGGGATTATGGGAGCTACAATTTAAGATGAGATTTGTGTGGGGACACAGCAAAACCATATCACAACCAGATTAAAAAGTGGGCAAAGGACATGAACATTTTTTTTTGTTTTTTTGTTTGTTTGTTTTTGAGACAGGGTCTCACTCTGTCACCCAGGCTGGAGTGCAATGGCATGATCTCAGCTCACTGCAACCTCCCCTTCCTGGGCTCAAACAATTCTCCCACCTCAGTCTCTTGAGTAGCTGAGATTACAGGTACAGGTACGCACCACCATGCCCAGCTAATTTTTGTATTTTTTTGTAGAGACAGGGTTTTGCTATGTTGCCCAGGCTGATCTCAAACTCCTGGGGCCAGGTGACCAACCCTCCTTGGCCTTCCAAAGTGCTGGCATTTCAGGGGTGAGCACCACACCCAGCTGCAAACAGACACTTTTTAAAAGCATGTGGCCAAGAAGCATATGAGAAAATGCTCAACATCACTAATCATTAGAGAAATGCAAATCAAAACCACAGTGAGATACCATCTCACACCAGTCAGAATGGCTATTACTGAAAAGTCAAAAAATAACAGATGCTGGTTAGGTTGTGGAGGAAAGGGAATGCTTATATACTGCTGGTGGGAGTGTAAATTAGTTCAGCTATCATGGAAAGCAGTGTGGCAATTCCTCAAAGAACTTAAAACAGAATTGGCTATTCGGCCCAGTAATCCCACTATTGGGTATATACCCAAAGAAATATAAATCATTCTATCATAGAGACATATGCACATGTATGCTCATTGCAGCACTGTTTACAATAGCAAAGACATGGAATCAACCTAAATGCCCATCAACAGTAGACTGGATAAAGAAAATATAGTACATACACAGCATGGAATACTACGCATCCATACAAAGAATGAGATCAGGTCCTCTGAAGCAACATGGATGGAGCTGGAGGCCATTATCCTCAGCAAACTAACAAAGAAACAAAAAAAACAAGCACCACATGTTCTCACTTGTAAGTGGGAGCTGAACAACAAGAACACGTGGACACAGGGAGGGAAACAACACACACTGGGGCCTATGTGAAAATGGAGAATAGGAGGAGCGAAAGGATCAGAAAAAATACCTATCAGGTGCTATGCTTACTACCTGGGTAATGGAATTATCTGTATACCAAAACCCTGTGACATGCAGTTTACCTATAATAACAAACCTACACGTCACCCTAAACATAAACGTTTTTTAAAAAAGAATAACCTGAAGAGAGTTGGATTTGAGTCACCATGCCTCTGCCCTATCCAAGACCAATTAAACCGGAATCATTGAGGGGCAGACACTGCATTCTCTGTGTGTGTCTCTGGTATGTGTGTGTCTCCGTACATGTGTGTCTCTGTGTGTGTCTGTGTGTGTGTGTGTGTGTGTGTGTGTGGTCTTCTAAAGCACCCTTGATAATTCAAATGAGCATCCAGTAGAGTGAACAGTGGTTCTCAAAATATGTTCCATGGACCAGCATCAGCAGCATCACTTGAAAGCTTGTTAGAAATGCAAACAATTCCCATTCCCACCCTACAGCATCAGAAAACTTGGGAAGCAGGGCCCAGATTTCTGTGCTCCTAAGAGCATTCCAGGTGATTCTGAATCATGCTAAAATTTGCGAACCTATGTGTTAGACCTCTGACATTTTGTTTTCTAATAAAACAGCATCAGCATCACCTAGAAACTTTACCCTTCTCCTACTGAATTACACTCTGCCTTGTAACAGGATCCCCAGGTGATATGTATGTACATCAAAGGCTGAGAAGCACTGTTCTAAGAACTTATTCAGAGTTCCATGCGCTCTGCCAAGCAGCTGGCTCTTACGTTCTGACTAATCAATGCAACAATTATTCGTTTCTCAGAAGTGGAACACATTTATTCTTTTAGCTGTTAAAAAAGAGACAAAGTTGATCTTCCTATGCAGTACCTGCTCTAAGTCTTTTTCTATACTTCTGTTTCTAAGAGTATTTCTACATCTCCCGAGAAAATGAAAAAATAAAAGGTCAAATTTCCGATGTTTTACTTAGCTCTGAGACGTATCTATCTCAGTTCTCTGGAAATGGGATCTCTGAGGCTTGACAGAGAACAAAGATGGATTCTTTGCCTTTTGTCTGTCTCCCACACAAAAGAAGGGATCTGGGGAGATGTAGGAGGGGGTAAAAATCTTTACTGATCATATTAAGAAGCAGCAATCTGTGTGTGTGTGTGTGTGTGTGTGTGTGTGTGTGTGTATATATATATATATATATATATGTATGTTGGGGGTGTAAATTTGAGAGAGAGGGAAATATCCCCACCAAATCAAGTTCATCACCCCTCAGTGTCAATTCCTGTTGTGAGGATGCCCCAGATGTTTCTGTAACAGAGGAAACTCTGTTACTTCTTACGATTATCTAAAACTATGAGAACCAGTGTAATGGCAAAAGATCACAAACCCACCTGCTCAAGCACCTGTTTTCCACTCTTCTGTTTTCATCTGCAACTTCAGCGTCATTTAGCTCAGATAAGACTGATCTCTTGAGACTGCAGGTCCTTCACCTGCTTGGTATCCTCCTAAGCCTTGGTTTGGGGAGGGGGTGGTGAGCAGGTGGAGAGGAGGGCTGACAGATGATCTACATTTGTAGCTAATAGAAAGAACATTTTCAGAGTTGAAAAGAGCAAACTAAAAAAATAATGATCTAAAACTATTCCTGAATCTGATTATAACCAACATGTAAATCAGCTACACTTAATAAAGGAATATGTCATTGAGTTTTATCACCAGAATGTCTTGTAAAAATAAATATCTAAAATCAAATGTGTAACATTAAGAAATAAAGAAGCGTCTTTCCCCATTAAAGTTAGCTTTCTTGTCACAGTGTCTGCCAGACTCTTCAAAACCTCCAAGTCACTCAAGTTACTTATTTCTGAGCTTTCCCCTTACCCTACAGCCTTGGGGGTCACCCTCCGAGAAAATGCCTTCTCTATCTAACCACTTAAGATGTGAATATTTGTTGTGAGCCAGCTGCAGCTTTAATAACTACTGATCCATGGAATCAAAGCCTACTTACTCCTCACAAACAATAAGCTCTTCTTGTTCCTGAAATTGCACTCTGTAACTTTCACAGGTATTATAAGAAGTAGGCATGACGGGTTCCAAATGCAATAACAGACATAAGTTCCTTATGATGATTGAATTAATTTCAAATTTCAGAAAAGTAATTAGTTGAAGTTTTATTGACAAAGGTGGTTGCTGATGACATACAATTTCTTGAACTGTGGGATAATTTCTGCAAAATAAGATGCACTGTATTGCTAATTTATTGGCAATAAATAAAACACTTTATTTTACAATTAAATAATTTATCTTAATATTTATTTATTGCCAATAAATAATCTGTCAGTAAATTAGTAATACAGTGCATCTTATTTTGTAGAAATTATCCCACTGTTCAAGAAATTGTATGTCAACACCTGAAACTTAAAATACTAACAATTTGAAATATGTTGACATAGTTTTGATAAAAGGTTAGTTCCTTTCCCTCTTATTAGTATAATTTAATATAAAATATGATCTTCCATATTAAAAAATACAATCATTCAGAAACAATTTGTTCAAAGGATTCCTGAAATAAACAAGGCTCAATTTTCTAAAAATCCAGTGGGTTCTTTGGTAGCAAACGAATATATGCAGGAATGGGAGTTTATAATTTTTTTGAACTCCACAAAAATATAATGGAATTAGACACTCATCGGTGTGAATTAAAATATATTGATAGGATTTTAGTGTAATTAAAATCTATTTCCTTCTTTAGTAACATATGATTATAATAAAATATAAACTTTTTCATAGGTACTTTATTAATTGGTATTTCAATAGTAATAACACGTTAATAGAACAAAACAGATACTTTATTCTGGAAGTGACTATTATTTGGGTGCTAATTAGACCTTTTCTAGTAGGACTAATGAATAAATATGTGCCGTTTATTTCTTCTGCCTAAAATGTTTGTTTACCATTGTTTACCATCTAACTCCTATTCATCCTCTAGGGCCCAGCTCAAGTGTCTCCTCTCCTCTGTAGCCTGCCTCCATCTCTGTCTCACAGGGGGCAGGTAGTAAGCAATTTAGCGTCCCAATCTAGAGCAGTGCCTGGCAGCTGAGTAGGTACACGGTCGATGGGGTTAAAGGAAAGAATGAAGGAACAAAAGTGGATCAAAATTGGACAGATAGCCATGTTAACAAAAAGAGGACCAGCTTTCTGAAATACATCAAAAGTTATAGTCCTAAAAACATGTACTATTTTCAACCCATGAATTAGAAATAAAGGTGCTTTTTGGTATGGAACACAGGCTCTGCAATTGTTTAATACAATGCTGTCAATAATTCCAAAAAACTGCTGCAAAAAAAAGAAGGAAATTCTTTGCCATTTAAAAAATACATAAGCAATGGCACTTTGCAGTAATTATTTGAATATAACTAGTCACAAAAACAATGCTGGTCCTTTTGGCTTTTAATTATTCTTCACAGAAGTAAGATTAAATAGGTCTAAGCTGGCAAAGGATCCGAGATGGTAACAGCATGACCTCATTGCATGTGAGAGGGTAACTGACTTCAGAAGCACGGCTTTTGTAATCTTTGCTACATAAGTACTAAAATGTTATTCTCTATTTTAGAAGATTTGTGGATTAAAAAATAAATCCGAATGGCTGTATGAGAAACAAAGCATTACATTTCAGAAAGAGGCCTCATGATTTTCAAGATTCCAGGGTATGCACCCAACCGTTCTGCGGTCTCCCACCTATATGGGGTCACAATGCAAAGTAAAGTCACCTCTGAGCAAAATCGTGAACTTTAAGGCCCAAAAACTGCATAAGTAATCGGTAGGCTACAAAGATCACAGACCATCATCAAAGTCTGGAATTTATGCAAATAACACTGCTTACATTTAACAGATCTGTAATGGTGTAAGCTTTTCCACTGCAAGCGAGTAAATGGAGAGCTTCTGTGGTGCAAGATTGCTACCTACAGGCTAAACTGCAGAATGACATACAAGACAATTAGCATGGAGGGGGAAAACAGGTAAACAATTTTATATAATGGCATGTAAGTTATTTACTGACAAGCAGCTAAGCCCGGGAACATGTAAAGACTGCACACTGCACACTGGGACATGGATTGACAGCTTTTGTTTTAAAACTACAATCTAGTTTCAGAGTTTTGCATTGTTTCCCTCTTTATCTTTTGAAGGTTTCTTTTCTTTCTGAATAATGTACATTGCTTTTCTGAAGGGGAAACGTTTCTCTCTCAATAATGTATTATAATACCTCTAAATCTCTGCAGATTCTCCATATAAATTCTACATAGAACTAATACTGATCATTTTAATTGTTTTTGGTAGAGTGATCAATCACAAAATTTGGAATTAGTTTCCGTGGTTTGAACAAACCTTGTGGGGGAAGGGTACAGTGTATACTACATAATCCCTGACTCCACATAGCTTTCAAAATTTATTTGTTCAGAACTATCTACATTCAATATTTAGAGTAATTTAGAGGTAATATATTTTTAAACTATTTCTTCTTTAAGAAAATATTGAATACTTCAGTTCAGAAGCACAGATACTAGTCCATCTTACAATAAAGGAATCTGATTTTCACTGGCAAAAATACATCGAATTAACACTGAATTCTCACTAATCTATAAAACAGCCCACATTTTATGAAATATGCTGAGTCAGTTTAAAAATGCAGATCTTTAAAACTATAAGGCAAGTTATTAGAAATGCATTTTCCCTTCAATTATAAAGAAATTCCAACTCTAAAGAGAGTAGGTTTCAAAACTGAATAATATATTATGGTTAAAACACATCAACAATCTGTCACTCCATATGCACAAATAAACATATCCCACTATCACTGCACATGCCACAAATGAGGCCAACACAACATCTGAAAAGGTAGAGCAAATTCTTCTTCACAGTGTTAGAGATGCTAAATCACACTGGCAACATTTTTAAAGGCATGCATAAAGGAAAGTTACCCATCTTTAATATTGCTATTTATACAGTTTAAACATTCTGTTTGCCTATCTGATAAAGATGTTCCACACATCCTTAATTTTAAACACAATTTAGCACATGCTCAGGTTGCATAAGGAAAGAATACTATTCTTCTACTTGATTTTCGTTTTGAATAATAAACCTTTTAATTATATTTTTGATATATTTAGAAGAATCTTAGATGAAATTCAGTTAAAGAGGTCACACATAACAAAATCGTCAAAGAAAAGGCATTTATTAGAAATAAATATGCGAGTTTATTCTGATTTATAGACAACTGTACATTGTTCAGCATTTCCCTCAACTGAAGTATGAATTTGAAGCAATTAGGTGATGTAATAAATGTGTGTAATAGAATCCATATGTTTAGAAGTAGGAGTGAAGGTATTAACCTACAGGTGTTTTCTTTCCCTACTATTGCAGTCTCATGAAGAGTAAATGTTTTATATATGGTGTTTAATTGTACATATCATAATATAATTAGGCAATGATTAATGATCTTAATTTTATTTTAATTAAGGAGGTGATCTTTTTCATAGAAATGGTTCTCTATAATTAAATTGTTCAGCCAAAATTTTAAGAAAGATTGAAAAAAGTACAATATAATTTGTAAAAGCAGATTCATAGTTGAAACTTTGAAAAGCAGATTTTAAAGTTTTCTGTGAAATTAATATTTAATTCATCTAAAAATACTTTTGTTCCCATATAGTTCTGAGTAAATTATATTGTTACTTTTCCAATGGATTCATATTTTGTTCAGTCAGTAAAACTGTGAACAGAATTAGTGAAAATGTTTAGAGTGTGTGAGAGAATTATTAATTAAGGGTAAAAAGTTTTTTATATTGCCCTCTTAGGCAACAGAGATTTTAAAGACCTTATTATTATTTAGCTGGGGCAAATAAATTCATGTGTAGCCCTTAATTCTACCCATAGCATAATTATAAACCATAACAAGGGGTAAGAATTTTCCTACTGCATTTTAGATGTTTTAGGAACAAAATATAAAACTGAATAAGAAAAAAATTGTATTATAGTTGGTGGATACTTATCCTAAGGCTATCTATCAAAATCAATGAAAATTATTGACTGTGAAAAATAGTGTCATTATTCTGTTGGCGTAATTTTAATGCTCATAGCAAGGTATTGGGAAAATTGCCCATATATGTAACAAAACTATTTTTCTTAGCTTGCAGACTATATTTAACATTTTTAAAATGTATCTATTTTTGTTGTTCTCATGCTAAATATGAACAATTCCTAAAACTAAATTCCTATTATCAGTATGAATTCTAGACCTATCAGGTCTCTTTCTAGCAAGGGATGTTACTTTTATCTTTGTTACATTCTCTGCAAAACTTATTGGTAACATACTTTCAGAAAATGCCAGGCAATAAACCACACTAAAATAATTTTCTTTATAAAAGCTTCGTGATCTTTGGCATTGTTCACTATTTTCAAAGCCATAAAAGAACAGATAACAAATATATGACTCACAAATTATCAATTATGAAAAATAATCTGGTTCAGAAAGCTGCAGTAATGTAAAAAGATGGATCACTTGTCACAAACCAATAAAGGCTATTGTTTGTGAATCCAATATTTGATTTTATCATTTATGTTGGGCAACTTAAAATGATTTTTAAACCACATTACTTTTGGGAAAAAAAAATTGTTATAAAGGTGAACACGAGGGTTGTGGGTAGGTAGGGCGGGGGAGAGAAACCAGTTGTAATCTGTCATCCTTGAAACAATTTATATTCTTACATTGAATTCAGCCTACAAATCTAAATCACAAAGACTTGGTCAGCAAGGATGGATGCATTAGAAAGGACTCTCCTGTGTTCCAGAGAATGGACAGTGGCAGGAATGTTAGTATGGCTTTGATTTTATCCTTTCTTTTCATGTGCTATTCTGATGGCTGAAAATTTGCAGCTATGATGTTTCATTATGCAGACAAGGTTCAACTGTGTGTTTTTAAGCCAAGTGTGGCTTGTTACACTTCTTAGGCAGGTAGCTGCTTTTGCTTACTTTGTATTGCATAGAGAAAGGTGCAATGAGGTTACCCAGCTCAGAAAACCCTTCTGACAAATTCTCATCCAGGTTGTTTCATATTTATCATCTTATAATGAAGGAAGAGGTACAGTTCTCATCAAGAAGGACACCACTGTGAGTGGCTAGGAACAGAAATTTCCTACCTGGTGTTATCTGAGGGCTACTCTACTGCTCTACTTGCTCTCTGATATCTCAATTAAAACCTTTTACACCTGCTTGTACATAAGAACTTGGATGCCTAAGGAAATGAGAAATACTCTGTCCACAAGGCCAGTGATAAAATGTGCACATGCTATTTAGGGGTGGCCTTATTCCCGCCTCTGGATAACAGATATGATCATCAGATTATCTAGCTGACAGCCTGAAAGTTGCAGGGACAGGTGAGTTTCAGTGGACATGAAATGTGGTAGACACAGGCAGATGGTGGCAGGGACCATCATGCAGATAGTGGAGGTAATATCAGAATAAGGACATGCCCAGACAGGTGTCTGGGAGGTGGACTGGAGGAAGATGAAGATGGGATGGGTTTAAGGATAGAAAAGTAGTCACATTCTAGAGACACTTCATCTGTTGCATAATGGGCCTTTACCATAGATTATTTCTCCCTCCTTACTCAGTAAAGAAACACTAGACATTATGAAATAAACAAAAGAAAGGAGAGCCCCAGGGCCTAGTTATATACGCCAAAACACAGTAAGAAAAATTAAATGTTAAAACCTGGATCAACCTCTAACAGCTTGTTTGAGGTACGGGTCATGAATTTTGCTTGAGGTGGGGATCATGAATGTTCTTGGAAATATTCCTACTTAGAGTCTGACAAGAAGTGAAAATGAGGTTGGGGAATGGAATAATTGAGTAACTATTCAATTATGGCAACTGCTGGCTAATGAAGACCTATTACAACCAAGTTTTTAATAGAAAATGTGCTAATTGACTAGGTTGGAACTTAGAACAAGCATATGGCTAAGATGTTTGATTACCTAGTCTGGTTCCATGTCAGTGATCAACTATAACACTGTAAAAATGAGTGTTTCTATGACAATTACCGAGCTCGCTGACTAAGGAGTAGGTGACCAACTTGAGGGATGAGTTTCTCCAATAAATAAATAAAAATATATGACCCATTAGTCCCCATACTGTGTGATCCGGAGGCTCATCAGGGTAAGTATGCTTTTTCTACTCCCTTACTCAAAACATTCATCTTACTTTCAGCATTGGCAAAGCTTAAATCAAATTCTTATGCAAATAATATTTCATAGGATTTATTTTTTAATTGGAAAGAGTATATAAAGCTATGAATCTGATTTTCTATAAAAGTGAAACAAATCAACATAGTCCGACTAGGTCTAAGCCTAGCATTCAATCTCATGTAGAGACTTGAATCATTTCTGTGGTTTCTGGATGGGGCAGTCTCCATGTCAAAGCCTACCTAGTAACTTTCAGGAGATGGGTGTTTCATCATCCACAATTTCAGACAGAAAAATGTTCTTTTCCAATGTCATTCTAAACTAAAACTCTAAACAGGTGTTTGATACTAAGGATGTAACCAAAATATTCCCCCTTATAACCCGCAACTCTGATAAGACTTCCCTCGGAAATATAATGGTTACATAGCCCTTACATGGCTTTAACAAACCCCTATTTTCTTCTTTCTGCTCCATACAATGTGCAGTCTATTTGCACCCATTCAGGACTAAATTACAGATAAAGTTACAGCAAATTTGTTTTCTCAAAAAAGCAGTCAGCCCTAATATCCCTTGAGTAATAAAGGCCTTGTCCTTCATTCAGAACTAGAACTGGCATAATTTTCTCCAAGAAACAAACTCTACTTCCTGTGACAATGAACCTGTTCTTAAAATTCTGAATGGGATACAGCTCAATTTGCAGGTGTTCAGGTATAAAGGTCAAAGGGCATTTGACCCCCCAACTGGCAATTGTTGCTGTGGTAGGTAACTTCAGTCTGCTAGTTATATCATTCTATTAGATAAGCTGCCAGAGTTTTCAGCTCTGAATTACCGAGGTAGGCTCAAGTGAATCAATAATTTATACAGATATATCTCATTCATTCTGATGGTATAAAGATACATACTAACAGCCTGCTGCAGCCCCGGAACAAAGCCAGAAAGACATTATTTAAGAAGAAAGAGGGAAAAGGAAACCTATTATCTATGTGAACAAAACCATGACGTAATCGTGACTTAATGGCTTGTTAATGTTATTTTTCAACTGCTTTAACAAACACCATGATGAGATAAACAAGCTCTTTGTGAATCTCAATAACGTTTCTCTGATGAATGTTAAGACAACATTTAAAACTCTCAGATTAATTTTAAAATAGAATGATATTTTACATAACAATATAATATAAACCACCGGAAAAAATTCACACACCTAAGAAGTTTCCATGAGCTAGCTTCACTAAATCTCTCAATATTTTATTACTGAATTTCAGTGTAAAATTACTTTTTAAAAGATGAGAATCAAATACATTTAGGAACTGTACACTAAGAATATTGTTAATATAGCCTTATGCTGTTAATCGTTACCTGGGGAAAATTATATAGTGTTTTATACACTAACACTATGACATTTTTATTAACTCATAATCCCTGTGCTAACAGTGGTGCATTAAACAAGTAATAATTAAGAGGGCAGCAAATATTAAAAATGCCTACTCTAAAATTCTTCAATCATGTTAAAGGGAATCCTCTAACATTTCTCTTCTATAAAGGAAAGCATTTCCAAAAACAGTGTGGTTACGATATAATCATCAATAGACCTAGATCACTTAAATCATATTTCCATAATTTCTGGTTATTGTCCTTGAGGATTAAGGAAATTCGCCATCTACAAACACAATAAAAAAAATCTCTTAGCAGCTTTAATTGTAAACATTGACTGTTTCTTGACATATCTGGAAATTTATTTGAGGATAAAATGCATTAGAAGTTGGTCTCTTGCCAAGTTTACCTCTTTGAGTTCAAGGCTGGGCTTGTGCATGGCATGGACATGTGAACTAATTGCATTCAGACTTGGTTTAGGAAGACTGTGTAAAAAAAAAATAATTACAGCAGCAAACCCGATGAGAAGGGTGATAGCAATCAGAGGTATTACTCAGGTACTTTATACAGGAAAGATGGATAAATTATCCTTTCTCTTATTTTCTAGGGAAACACCTTGGGAAATACAGCAAATAACAAAAGTCAAAAAGGAAATAAAAGCATTTCTGAGAGAAAAAGAAAGTAAGAGCAAGAGAGAGACTAATGTTGTGGCCTCTACCAAAAGTCCTTAAGCCTTTATATGCAACACTCTGGGGCTGCCTGCTGCAACCAGTTAACATTTCTGGCCTTTCAAGAAAATATAACTAGTCCCTTAAAAGCAGAGAGAGGAAGGAGAAATAATGGAATAACCCATTTCTGACAGTCAAGAGAGAAAGGAGAGAGATGTTCCCACACTGATCTCATTAAGATGATGAGAATAATGAGTGTGAATCTTATGTATGGATCTCACAGCAGACAGAGGAGGACATAAATGTATCCCCCATTCACCCTTTTATGATGCCTGATACACCACATTTATTCTCAGCTTCATCTGCTACTACTGTTGGGGGTTTCTCTTACAATAGTATAGCTTTAACTTCAAGTTTTGCTGCTGAAGTCATCTGAGTCAGCCACTCAACACAGCTTTATTGAGTGTGCATGAAAACGAGGGAAGTCCTCTTAATGGCAAGTGAAATGCATCTTGAGCAGAACAGCCTGAGTTTATTTCCTGTCACTGGCTCTGGTAATGGATTAAAAATACTGATGAATGGCATTTTTCCGTTTATAATCTGTTGTATTTTCTAGTTCCTTAAACTTAGGTCATACATTCCAGCCAATTAGAAACAGAACCCAAGTCTTATTAAATATGCCTTCAGTGCCTTTGGAGAGCCATGCATTTGTGACAAACACTGATGGAACATTTTTTCTTGTGAATTATCTCCTATTCTTAAATCCAGTCTAGAATATTATCTAATAATAATTTTAAGTTAAATACTTTTTCATACTGATACAAACTTTGAAGGACTGTGTAGTTCTCAGAAACAGAAACCTATGTTGTTGTGGCCAAATATTATTCAAGTCTAAATTATCCACAGGTCCTTCTGCTTAAGGATGTCAAAGCATTTCATACAGATGATTTATCTTTCTTCACTCCAGTATCTCCAATAACAATAAAACTGTGCACCAAATGTATAGCAAACTATACCTCACATAATTTAAATAACAAAGTGGGCAACACCTTCCAAATTCAAATATCATCTCAAAATATGCCCAAATTATTATTTCAGTACTGCCACTACTTTGTAAAGGAATATGCTGTTCCATTATGTTGTTTAATTTTACGCTGGAATAATTTGGATCCATATAATTTTAAAGGCAATTTAGAAAGACAGCGATACAATGAAGCTGGGTCACCAGTTTTTCTAAGTAATTCAAATACATACACTTTTTCCTGGCATTTATTTAGTCTAATGAAAATTTAGGCCACGGACAGGTTCATCTTAGCTACCATTTAATCAATATAGATCAATATAGGTAGTTTAAGCTGTTTAAGCAACTCACTGAAAATATATATTTGAAACCTGGGAAATATATTCTTAATGAGTCGACATTTACTTTTGGGAAAAGCGTCATTTATACTACTTGGAGGCCAAATGATATTTCTTGTCTAAAATATGCCTTACTTAAACACACAGTGAACTCTTCAAGAGTTCGTGATTACCATACACACATCTCTGCAGTGTTTTGTGGAGCTATAGTGTGATGTGATTTCCACTAATAGAAAAGTTCATCAAAACATAAGGTACACATTTATTACTTAAACTGCAGGAATAACACTAAGCAGGGTGCATACAGACTTATTATATCAAGTCGGCAATTCTAGCCTTCCCAGATCAATACATTCCTTAACAGGAAATACCAAGGACCAGGAGTCCAATTTTACACTCTTGGAATTCTACAGGACAATGTCAGACACCTGGCTTCCCTTAATTAAGGACAATTTAACTTACAAACTTCACCTTTCTTCTCATTGTTGCTGTCTTTGAAGCTTCCATTACTAGTCATTGGGGGAAAAGGAGAGTTACTATGTTAGTAAGTCATTTTACCTCTTAACACTTCAGTCTCCTGTCCTGTAAAATAATCTCTAACCTCCATTCCAGTTGTACCATTCCATGACTTCATCTGCACCATTAAAAGCCCACACAATCTCCACCTTTTAGGCTCCTTATCTTTGCATTAGGAAGGTGCACTATCCTGAAGCTGGGTTTGGGTTAGATGTGTTCTGGCATTCCAAACACCAAGCCAGGATTCCACTGAATCTACTTTCTCCATGTGATGTTTCCATTCTACAGCTAGTAGGCTTTGTACATGATTCTATGTCATGATCTATGACATTCCCACTGTGGAGAAATGTGTTCCAAGGTCTAAGCATCTGTCTTACCAAACAGACCTCTACATTTTGTTTGGAGGTTTGGAGTCTATATGTTAAACATTCCATTTTAACTACATATCAGCCAAGATTTAAGACAGAAATAAAACTGTGGTAGAAGTCTGATACTCTGAGAATTAAAAAATGAAGGAAAAAGTGCACACTCAGTTAAGCTAGTAGAACCTAGGTTAAAGGGCTCTCTTAAAATACCAGCCTCTTGGTTGAGGCACGCAATAGGCTCTTGCCATAGAAGAACAAAACTCTATTTAAAAAAATTTAGCTGAGAAGGGCAGTGGGGGACAGGGTAGAGCCAGAAGTTAACACATACAAAAGTATAGCTAGATAGGAGGAATATGTTTTGTGTTCAATACCCGCATATGGTGACTATAATTAGCAACAACTTATTGTATATTTTCAAATAGGTAGAAGATTTTGAATGTTCCCAACACAAAGAAATGATAAATGTTCGAGGTGCTGCTTATGCTAATTACTCTGATTTTATCATTACACATTGTATACATGTATGGAAATATCACACTATATGCCATAAATATGTACGATTATTTTGTGTTAATTAAACATAATGAAAGCAAAACGAAAAGAATTTAAACAAAACCAGATACATACTGACACTCTTTAAGTTTTCAATGTTGCTGCCTAACTAGAAGAAGAAAATGTAGCTATCTGAACTTCTACATTTATGAATTACTTTTCTGAGTGCTACCCATCACTCTACTAACATCACGTCAAAATATAACACTTCTCGTATACAACCAGTATATTAATTTGTGGTAATTAATGCACTCCTTTTAACCTTGGTGATCTATTATTTTAAGTTCAATCAAAAAGATTAATTGACTAAGGGGAGTATTGTTTAATTTGCTGACATTTTATGACAACACTGGATGAAAAATTCTTGTTTCGAACATTTAGAGTTGCCTGAAGCATGCTTGGCAGGAACTGTATAGAATGATTTAACTATGGAAAATGCATTAAGATTATTTATATATAGCTACATGGGATATAAAACATAATATATTTACATATTATTGGTAAATGACAATAGTAAAATTTTTTTTGACCTATGGTGAACTGGGTAACTTGCCATGCAAAACAGCCAGTAGAACAATTATCTTCACTGTTTTAAATCACTCTCCTATTATAAATCCTTTCTCCCTTCCCCAACACTTCCAATGAAGATCTAATAGGTAACGAAACCTAAGGAAATATATGTTTATATCTCTGACATAATATTCATTAAAAATATAAAGAGTAACTATTAGTTATAAATACAGTGCAATGTCTGGATAAAACCCATCAAACCCTCATAATGACAGAAGTTATCTTACTTAGTCCAAATTCATGTGGACTTCTGGACTTCTCCAACAGTGCACCCTTGGAATTGGGACAGAGAAGAAAACCCTCATATGGGTTTGCATAAGAGAGAAGATAAAATTCTTCGATCTCTATAAAGCCAAACAAACACCTGTCCTTTAATTGGACTATAATATAGTTAATAATTTTGCATAAAGATCACAAATGCTCTTTCTCCAGACAAGTTCCGTATGGGAATAATTCATATCATATGCGAACTACAGAAAATCCAAACTAAACTTTACCACCAAGAGTATAAAAGTAAATGTAGTTGAACTTGTATTAACCCTCATTTGGAGCATGCATTCACAGTGGGGTCAATGTGACATCCAAGGGGGTAAAAACTGGTTCTTGAGCTGGGGCGGGGGGGAAGCAACAGAAATCTTAGATGTTTGTGGCCCTCTAAAGCTCAATATCCCCTGAGAAAATCTTATCCCTTAGTATTTAATTTCTCTCAAGTGAAATTTTTCTCCTTAGGGCAGTGACTATGAAAAAAAAAATATAGAGAAACACTGATTTAAGATCAAATAAAGGCCACACTTTGTCTCTAAAATATTTTATTCCTGTCCTTAAAATGAGAGCTGACTTTGATTTATCAAATCCAAATATCTATTTGCACTTTGATATGCTTTCTGTCTTTCCTTGCCTCTTAGTTTTCTCTGATTTTCTCTTCGTTATTTCAGCTATTTGAGCCAATAGCTGATGACTACTCTGTTATTGATCTCTCAGTGTTACCACTTGCTGAGTGTTGGACCTCTGTCATCACGGCAAAGTACAAGATGCACCAGAGTCATCACTCACAGACCCACCTGTAGCAAAGCCTGCTGTGTCTATCCCAATTCTCACTACAATTTAAAATGTGATAAATGATGGCAAGAGAAGGGGCAAAGTAAAATGGGAACAACTTCCTTAACATTTCAGGTTAGCTTCTTGCTTGGTAAATTAACGAACACATTCATAATTGTAACGAATATCTGCACATCTAGTCAACACAGGAAAATTGGACAACAGAAAGCATTCTGCTCCTATTTCTTAATTTTTACCTGATAGAACGGGGAATGAAAACACATGGAGAGTGAACTTAATGACTAAAGCATATTAATGACTGAATCTCTGTTATAATTTACAACCCTTCAGAAGAGTTATTATTCCTACTTTACAACATTTTACTAACATAAATTATATAATTAGATCATTTATTTAAACTTTTTCCTTTGCAAAGTACTTTATTTCATAATATGTTGCAATGGAATATGGCTTGCCAATTTGCTCAGCATGTCTGTCCTTTACGATTGAAATCACAATTGCAAAGTAGAAAATCCTTCAGAAGACAAGAACATTGGTTTAGGAATCTGGGAACAGGTAGTGAGACATCTCTGATTCATTATTTAATAATTTTTTGATCCTTAGTCAACTCAGTTGTAAAATATTGACCATGTAACAATTTTTAAAGGGTCTTATAAAGGTCTGGGGGGCTGAAACTACCAGATAAGTAATGCAAGGAGGAAGCTTGAAGTGAAGTGGGGCAGCATCCATACAGCCAGGAAAAACACACCGAGGCTTTGGTGTCCTCCACCACGCCAACTTTTATTGATAGCACCATTGAGGCACATGAGAAAGCTAATTCTTAGATTCAATATGGTATCATAATTATGCTGGTGATATTTGTAATTTTTTGACTATAGCATAGCATAATAGCACTATACCTGAGAAAAAATGAAATCATTTTCTTTTCCTCAAATCACTCACAGAAGAAAAGTTTTCAAAATTATAGCATTCTACTACTTTCCACGTTACAGGACAAAGGCGGAAGAGCAGCGATCATAGGAAACATGAGTTTCCTCATTTCATGAGAAAATGACCTCTACAGGGATTAAATTCTTCTTCTTGTAAATATGAAATAAAATCTAGGAGAAATACGCCTTTCAGAGAGTAGCAGACCCTGTGGCTTATGTGATTATCTCCCTCCAAAGAGCAGAAAGCCCTTTTGCTGACATCTATTAAAATAAACAAAAAAGGGCATTGGCATCATTTAAAGAGAATGAAGCACTGATTTGAGCCAAGTGTTGCACTGTGGACTTAGCAGATACAAAAACAAAACAAAAATAACTTCACAATTAAATAGGCCCACAAACTGAACTAGAGCCTCACTCCTCAGGAAAGATTACAGAAAATATTTGGTTCTGTTATTATCTGGCTTGCTATATTTCCTAAGATTCAGGGTTGATTTTAGCCAATAGTGACCAAACCTGAAACCCAGCTCATTTGTACCTTATACTCTTTGGGGGCCTTTTATATAATTGCAGGAATTTATATGTAATGCACTATGAAAGGCAATGCTTAGGAAAACCTAATTTACAATTTTTCATGTAATTTTGGACAATGTTTGAAAAAAATTTCTTCTCCGGAGTTGAGATAAATTGGGCGAAAATGTATATTTTGAGTAGCAATTTGATGTACTAGCATGTCCAGATGAATTGGGTGCACAATCTATTTACTGAAAAGAAAATTGTGGTACGAGAAACTTCTAAGTGTCAATACTTCTTGACTCTGCAAAAGGAAGTTAGGGCAACCTTAAAAATATATATCTTTTAAATCAGTGAAATTTTATATAGGTTTTCTTCTTCCCTTACTTGCACATTTGTGAGAAAATGTTTAACGTAGCTTCTAAATCTGTATAGATTAAATTGGAAGTATTGTTTAGTAAGCTTAGTAGGTGTGTATGTCAGAGGAAACATACATGAAGAAAGATGGGCAAAAAGGCTTAGGAGTTTATATTTACAAAATTTTAGGGAAATTCATGAATATGACAGTAAGACCACCAATTGTAGATCATTTTGGCTTTGTACTTGTTTCTCTGGTTTTCAGGAGTACTTCTCTTTTGCTGTTGTGTAGAAAGTAACAAAAGTTACATCTAGAACATTTCTAACGTTTCTGCTAGCGCTAAAAAAAAATTGTAGCAATAACAACAAAAACTCTTCTATAAAAATCATTTGAAAATTGCCATAGACTTGAAGCGTAATTTCATTGCTGTGGTAGTACTATTGTCTCTTAAATTTTCAGAATAGATATTTCTGTTATAAACTTAAAGTGACCTTCAATATGTTCAATGTAATTATCCTACATTTCATTGTGCCTTAATGTGAATATTAAGACTTAAACTACAGGTGATGTAGACATGCCTTTGTTTTCACATTGATACTTCTTCTTAAGCAATTCTCCCTTTTTGATCCTTGATCACGAAAGACACTTTAGATGTCCTTACGGTTTGTAATAACTTTTTAAAAATCCATATGTTGTTTAATAGCAGCAGACTTTCTGCACGAGAAGGAAGTACATGATAAGTGTACTGTAGGAGCCTATTGTCTTTGGTCATTATTACATTCCCATTGCCTCTGCAACTCCAGTTCCTCCTCCTTTGCTGTGCTTCCTCCACTTTTTTTTTTTTAATCATTTGGCTATACAGAGCTGCCTCATGTCATTCTTTGCATACAACATCTTTGTTTTTTCTCTCTTCTGCATAATGGCCCAGCTTTCTGGGAGTAACTGTTGTCCCGAATATGATCCTTTACTAAAATAGGGATTGAATAAAGGTGGAGCACAAATTATCTGGAAGCAAAGGAAAACTAGGCATTTCAAAAGGACCCAGAAAAAAACAAATAATGAACCAGAGTGGCTTCGATGAATTGCCATAGAAGGAATTCTTGGTTTTGACACAAAAGGAACACATGAATACCAAGGAAAACCTAGGGAGAGAATCTCAGTAGGAAACCTGCCTCGTAGGCTGCTCAGGACAGAGGGCTGAAGCCAGTAGCCCTCCAGATATGAACAGAAAGAAATGTATTTTATGACTAACAGTTAAACATTCAAACATGCCGTTTTTGGAACACAAGGTACTTTGAGGAGTTGACATCCCTTCATAATTCATGTTCATTGTTCCTCTAAGTAAAATATGTATCTCCCTTTAGTTATTCTGTTAGGAATTGTACTTTAAAGGCAAGAGGACATTTTTGATAATGCACATCTTAAGATGTTTCATTAAAGTACCAAATTTAAATTCTACCTTTTTGTGCACTCTGACATTTTTGTCTGGCATTTTCATTAATTTTGCGACATACATAAATGTAGCTGAAATGTTAACTGATCAATACTTTGTCTCTCTCATGTAGCACTAGCGCTCCGTTCCCCAAGGACTACACAGCAGAACAGAAATTAAATGTGTAAAATATCAAATGTTAATGTTAAACACAGCAGCACTTACTGTATAACGACAGAAAAGGCTAAAACAATTCCAAATGGACAGATGGTACCACAAATTATCTACAATCACATTTAAAGATTAAAGTTTGTCCTGTAAAATAATTCTTTGACGCACACTGAAGTGTGTCCTTTTACTGATAGCTCAGTTGTCCAATTATTTTTGTGCTCATTACAGTGAGAAATGACAGTACTGAAAAGAAAGAGAAAATGTGCACTCTTTCTTCCCCCATGTTGCACCCACTGACATCCACAAGAACACAAATGTCTAGTCAAGAGCCTGATGAAAATTAGGCCCAATTTATGAGACATTTCCATGTCTACAATAGATGATTCCCCAAGACGAGCAGTGCCTTCTGCACCACACATGTCTGTGTTCATTCTTAGGCAGACAATATTCACAGTAAAATTTTAAAACCGAATGCATTGCACACAAAATAAGCACACGCCCAGAAACGTATCTGCTTATATTTTATCCATCACCTTCCAGACCAATGCCTGTCTCTAATATCATCAGCTGGCTTTGACTCTTCCCTGTGGCACAGAGGTAGCGTTAAGGAAGCTGGAGCTGTCCTAAGCCTGCATTTCTTGTGCTCTCTACTTCAATTGACATAGGGATTAAGAAAAAAAAAAGATTGTTTTTTACTTTTATTTCATTATTCTACATTTATTTTTGGATAGTAAAGTAGAAAAGAAAAGTTAAAATAGAATAGAAAAAAGGCACTTAAACATTATAAAGTTTACTGACTTGGGCCTAAAACCAAGCCACATAATGATAGAAATGCCTGTGCTCTGTGAGGCAGTGGCATTTATAAAAAAGTGGGCCAAGTAGAACCGATATTATGATAATAGACCCATGATCCATCAACAGGGCATGATGGGAACAATGTGTTTGTAATAATGGGATACTGCTCACACCCTTCTCCTAATGGAAAGCTGTTCTTTTCAATAAACAGGGCTAAAATGTCTCTAGTTATACAATGAAATCTTTGAAACATTTCATTTTTAAATATATAACTTAATATCTACAAGATGAATAAATATCCCAAGTAGTTTTTGTTCAGAGCTGCTGTGATATTAAAATTACAAGGTATATGTATTTTAAAAGCTCTTTTAGAAAGGAAATAATATCTGCTGTGTGGCCTTGGGCAAGCTACTTAACCTTTCTGTGCCTCAGTTTCTTCCTTCTGTATATTGGAAAACTAACACTATCTACTTCATAAGGTTGTTGGGAATATGAAATTCGCTAATGCATGTAAAACAGTTCCTTGACACATAGTAAGTGCTTAACAAATATTAGTGGTTGTTTTTGTCATTATTGTGGAAGGATATTTTTATATTAGAACTTAATCAGAGGTTAGAATCAATGATTGATAAGGAATTATGAAGTAGTTTAGAATATAAATGGAAACGCCAGGAAAATTTGCTACAATAGTACTAAGCTATGTTTATCATGATTTAATAACTAGCTTCCTTAGAGCAAACCCTTATTTATCTGGCATCATTGAAGAATGAGTTTCTCCACATAAGAAAAAATTTCAGATTAACTGATTGGTTCATAGATTGGTCAACTGATTCTGTCAGCTATTTATACTGGGAGCTTACTAAGTGCTAGATACTGTGCAGATGAAGCTGGAGTACTAGGCTAAAAAGGCAGGGTTCCCATTCTTATAGAACTCCCAGTGCAGGTCTAATAAATGACATTTGATTTTGTTATTAGTTGTTTTAATCACATTCAACAGAATGTGATTCAGAGCTTCTTTTTTCCAGCGAAACACAGGTAATATTATGGGTTCTTCTCCAAAGTACTCTTACTCTGTTTTCACATTGTAGTTTGTGTTCTCTTTTTTCACCATCCGTGTCAGCAGGCCCCTTCCCACCTTTACTATGCCTGATTCCCTCTTTTTTTTTTTTTTTGCAAGCCTCTTGCATTCAGCTTGTGTTTCACAGGACTGAATCCATCAGACACTGACTACCAGCTAAGAGAACTATTATTACATTTCTTCTCCAGTGAAATTTGACCCCCTTACAGTCTTACAGTCAAATCACTCAAGTAATATCATGTAAATGTACCTAAGTTGTTCAGAATTCCAGTGCCTGAGTTTTTTTTTTTTAGAATCAAAAGGAAATTGCAAAAAAAAGGCTGCCATCTTGAATTTCATTTTACGCGAGTGACCTCCAGAAGTCAGAAGTTTATGAAGACTTACACAATACACGTAAATGCTAAAGTGTTCAAAATGAATGTTGCTGAACAAATAATACAATTATATGCATTTCTGGTCTTTTCAAATTTTACAAATAGCTGTGAGGAATGATTTTGGAAGGAGTGAATCAAAAATGGCAGCACGATCTTTACAGGACAATTTTTTTTTGCATCTGTTATATGACCCCATAAAACCTGGAAGTAATAGTCTAAAATAGACATAGAAGCTCAGTATCATTTTTTCTCATCAATGTAAAAGTACCTCCTGGCTAGGGAAAAATCAGAATAAAGTTTGCTTAATAGTACCACCATATATTTATTATAAGAAAGAGCTACAAAAAGAATACTGAGAGAGACAGAGAGAGAGAGATTTTTTTTCTAAAACTTAACGATAATGACAATTGCTTTCTTTAGGGAGACAACAACACGTCTATGGGAAGCAGGCTGCCTAACTTTCTGGTAACTTACAACACAAAGGGACGTAGACACTCTTTGTTCCATGTGCTCAGACATTAATGAAAGTCCCATACAAGGCCTGAGAGGAAGACAGAGCTCAAAGTACTAAACAGATGTGCATACACTCATTTGAATGGTAATACTAAAATGTTGATTTGTTACTATAATTAAGGCTCTTCTTGTAAGCCCCCATAATAAAGTCGTATTCTGCTAAACTGGCAACTATAAGGAAGCATAAGGTACTCATATTTGAACAAACATGAAAATAAAATAAAGGATTTCAAAAGAATGACTCTACTTAAACTTCAAACTGAAATCCTGAAAAAGCCAAAATAATGTGAGAGAAGAAAATCCCAGCTAAAGCTCAGAGCAAAGTATTCTTTTGGATTTTCTAGCTCTGCCAGTTGGTCTCATCAGAAGTTTTTAAATAATCAAAGTAAAAGGCCACAAGATGAACATATTAAAGGACTCTTTGGATCTATCGAATTCTCACTTGTGACTTTTAAAAGCTAGAAATCTCAGAAATAATAAAACATCTCTTAAATAGGTCACATCCACTTCCAGTTGAATCACATGTTAAAGCATTACCAAGTAGCATTGGTAGCATTCTACTACCAATGATTTTCATATCTTGAAAAAAATTAACTATAGGACAGATAAAATCAAATTGAGAATGGTCGAGATTATTACTATTATTATTTTTCACATGGAGGACTTTTCTTGGCTGTCCTATTGGGGTTTGGAATTATGCAATATGTAAAATTTTACTTTTTAACTGTCACAGAGAAAATGATACATTGGCTGAGATGTCTTGCGTTCCGGAAATCTGAGGGGGGAAAATGTATTCTTAGACTCAGACCTTGTACAATCCATCAGGTTCCTGCCCACGGCAAATCTGTCCAGTCAAGTCTTAAAATAGGAGTTTTAAAATGGCCACATCAACATAACTGTTACTATAGCCACAGAAACATGCAGCTATGATTACTGAATTTAATGAATAACAATGTAAGTAATACAGTATGATCATACCACAAAAGCAGCGAGACTCCTTGGGGGTGAATCCCAATCAAAGCAACTATTAACGTAGTATGCAGCATTTACCAGCACCATGACACAACGTTTCATTCTGATAAAGTTTCTTAGTAGCAGCTGTAAGGAAAATGAAAATATTATTATAATTTGCAAGACTAAAAACCATCAGATATACTGCAAAATTCTTCAAGCTTATTGTGACTTAAAAAGGATTCAGAAAGTTAATAAAGTTACAAGAAAATACCAAACAATTTGGCTCACAAGTTAAAGAATTTATTTCTGAGAAAGTGGAAAGAACTGCCTTTTTAACTAAATACAATTTTTAAAATAATGTTAACATGTAGGTTGGACTACCTTTGCTCACAAGAAAAAAAAATTTCTAACAGACTAAAATTTTTTTTTGTTACTTACATACTATGCACCTTTATTAATTTTAAACTCTTAAACCTTATTGTGGTTTTAAGATTGATCAAATGGTTTAATTTCAAGACATTTCAAAGTGAAGTTGGAATGTTTTTATTTAGGGTCTTATAGAAAAACCTATCCAGAATTGCTTTTTTATAGACAACAAAATGTCTTCACCATTTTAGTAGAATTCCTCCCATTCTTACTATCATATTATCTATCTATCTATCTATCTTCTATCTATCTATATCTGTATCTCTCTCACAATAAATTTAACCTATATTTTCTCATTATTTTTTCATAGTTTTGGAAGTAGGGAAAAATATATGGTAACCGAGTGCTTTACAAAATTTCTTATTAAAACGAGTATAGGAAAATTGATATAATTAGAAATTAAAATTTAAAATTAAGGCATGACTACAACTGTAAAAAAGAATAGCCCATGTATAATTTGATGGTTCGAAAAATTACCACAGCTATATTAATAATTAGAATAATTATATGTCTGCAAGTTAACATTTTGCTACTCCCAATATACTTCAACGCTGATCTGATATTTTAAGGAAGTAGCTATGTAAAGTTTACTGAGGTCATATGGAAAAAATATATATATGGGCAAATATACATACATGTATGTGCATGCCAGTTTTAACAAGTGGCTAAAATTGAAATTCCTTGCTGGCAAAGTAGAGTCTATCTCTTAGTTTTCCTTCTTTGCCCCTATCACCTTACATTAAGAACTACTTTTATTACTTTTATGTATAATTGTGGTGAAATGTTATTTACATTTCTACTTAGATATTGCATTTGTAACTCACACACTTCCTTTAAACCACCAAATACTCCATTGTTTTGCTGGATTTATTAAGAGTAAAAATATATTTAGGCTTCTAATATTACAAAAATTATTAAATATTTCAAGGCATAAATATGTTCAGTAAACATTTTAGCTGTAACAAATACATTTTAGTTTAGTTCTGTGAATCAGATGTAAACGTTTTTAAAAGGGGTGGTTTAGCACTTTTTAAAAACTTAATATTAAGCCTAATTTAAAATTATAAGCAATAGATATCACGCTCAATTTAAATTCCCTTCATGATAGAAAAATCATATTTCCTGATTCTAACTTTCTTAGCTAAAAATAATAAAAGTTTACTTCTGAAAGATCATAGTTAAAATCTAATTAGCAGGAAGGTTTCCCTTAGAAGATGGAGCCTCCTCGCATCTGGATTAGAGGGAAGAGCTTATACTGGGCTCGCTTTACACACACCTGCATCATACCTGTGGGTGGTCTGGACATATATTTGTACCTCAGCTTTTGGTGTTCTCATTTACACATTCCATGGCAATCAAATTGCATTTTATGTTCAAAATGATCATTCTTTTGCTAATGCATGAATACATATCCATTATATGCATCACCTACAGTATCCCCTTTCCTTTCTGACCACCCCCATCCAATTTATTAGTTTGGTATTGTCCTCGTTTGATCTTTTAAAGAAAGGAAGGAAGAAAGAATCAGAAAGAATGAAAGAAAGCGCCATTTTCAATAAGTAGATGATCAAAAATTCCAGTCTTCCCCCCTCCATACCTTTAAAGTTTATTTGAATTTACTTAGATGTTTTACAGATATAATCAGGTCTTCCCAGAGGGATTAATCTTTTCTTGCTTTTTACCTGTTTAGAGAGTCTGTTTTCCTCTTCAATGTACTTCTGTTCTTTGGGTATTAATGTTCGTAAGCTGGCTTTCACCTATACATCAACATATGTGTCTGTTATGGATTAATATATTACAAATGTTTACAAGTTTTTCACGCAGTTCAATTTGCAATAATTTCTAAAGTTTCAAAGTCCTGGCTGCTGTGCTCATAAAATATAAATGTATACAGTTGCACATGCATGCGCTTCCCTTTCTTATGCCGGTAGACAGCGGCCAGAACACAACCGCAGCAGCATTCGCCAACTATAACAGAAAGTGTGGGTGTGCCAGGCAGTGGCAGAAGCGTATTCTCCAGGACACATGAAGGTTTAGAGAAAATGAGGAATGACAGAAATTCTCTACAAATCAGGAACAAAAGCTTTCATGAAACTGAACTCTTTAGCAGTACAAAAAAGCCAAAGTTAAGACTTACAGCATTAAAAATCACATCTATTTCAAGATAGATGACCCCCTTTGTTGGCCCTGTCAGCTGCTTGTTTTTCAAGACGTAGGCTTTCTGTTCACCATTTTGAATCTGCGGGAAAAGGACATGACAGCCGTCTGTCTCGCGGTCTCTACTGAATACACTCCCTCAGTGACCTTTGACCCCCAGCTGCTGAAACTGACAGAGAACCCAAAACAACTGTGGCAATTCTGACAAGTACCTGTTCATTACCAGGATCAAGTCTGTCAGGAAAAATTAACTATCATGGGATTCAACATGGCCGTGAATTGAGTATGTTAAAATTTTTAGTGTTCTTATTACAGACCTTGGTTGAGAAATGACAGACACAGAGCTGAGAGTTTTCTTTTCTTTTTTTTTTTTTCCGTGAGCAAAAGCAACACAGAACAGTGTGTCAGGTGAATAAAACTTACAGACAGCAATGGTATAGCAACTTTGCCCAGAAAGTCAGCACTTCGATCCCGATCTTCATCATAAACTGTCACTTCAAGAACTGAATGGATATCTTTAATGTTGCTGCATAATAAATATATGTAAGAAAAAAAGATTTCATCAGTAGGAAACAACAACAAGAATAGTTTTGAAAATTTAGATAGCTCCAGCTGATTTTGTGTGTGTTTGTAAGCATGCTATTTGCATACACACATATACAAGGTAGCTTGGTATCTGACAGAATTTCCCATAATGCACCTAAGTCAACTATAGTGATGGTTCTATTATCTGTAACTTTAAACACCTTGTAATTTCAAGTTATCATTTTTTAATGAAATATAATTTCCCATCTGAATGGGCACAGAATAAGTTATTTAAAAAATCAAGAAGTAGCACTGGTGGTTTTTAGACTTTCCCTTCTTCTAATTATCACAATTCATACCTTCCCATTATCCCTACATAAAACACCACCAGGTTTGATATCAGCAAAAGTTACAGTATATTTTATGTAATTACTCTTTTTTATAATAATAGGACATCTCCTGTTTGTTTATAGCTCTCACTAGATCATCGACGTAGTTTCTGTTAGATTTATAGTAAAAATTAACAAGCACAGAAAACAGAATGGAGAAAATGTAACATATAGTTATTGTACCACCCTGGAATTTAGAAATTAAGCAGGGTTCCATTATGTTCCAAAGACAACATATGTTAATAAACGACTGCGTGAGCTCTTCATATTTTTATTTCTGGAAAATAAGTGCAAATTGTTGACAGCATTTATTCTTTGATCAAACTGTTTACCAAGAAAACATGAATTAAGAGAAAACAATAAAGTGAATATATTCATTACTGAAAAAATTGCAACCATATGTGAGGAGAGGCTTTATCAGGGCACAATCAATTAATGGCTTTGATAATAATCAAACCTATTCATTCAGTTACGCATTCTGGAGAAAAACACTCTCCGCAATCTTCTTAGGAGTACAAGTCTCCTGACCAGGCTTTTATCTCTTATAAAAATGTGGAATTCCTTAAAAATAAATTGGCCAGACAGTTAAAGCTGATTAGTTACCGGTTCTTAAGCAGAGACATAATAAATTGATGAAGAATTTCGCAGTTTTTCATATACAAAAAAATAGAATTATGTTAGAAAACTTTAAAGAAGTACTTCTGTTTGGAGAATTTTCCTTTGTTCAGAGTTCATTTCAAAAGCCCTGTTTAAAAAACCGAACTTAGGAGTTACTATAGTGTAGCATTGGCAGCTTTTACAGTGTATGACTGAAAAGGTTTACAAACTTTCTAAAACAAAAGGAAAATTAACTCATAGGGTATTTTGGTATCTAGGACAATACTTAATATTCTCATTGTGCTAAAATGAAAAGAACCAAAACTAAAGCATCTGCCGAATTCGAGACTGGATTGTTTGCTGATTTCAGCAATGGAACAAATAGAGCTTTGTCTTCCTTGGTGTCAATGCAATTGGAAAGAATTTCAATAGAAAGTATAAAAGGAAGAAGCGGTATGGTGATTCAGTTAATGGAAGCAAAATCCTTAGCCAAATCATATAAAAAGCACAGTTTCAAAAAATGTCTGTGAAAACAAAGAAAAATGCCATACCCTTTCCCCCAGGTTTCACTTTCAGGAAGGTAGGAGGAAAATTCATTGTTGTTAGCAAAGGCAGGCCAGATGCATTGAGTTGTGAATCAGTTAAGAATAAACACACACATTTTTTTTAAAACCCTCAAAAATAAATCAAATTTAACACAATTTTGGATTCAGAGCCCAAAGAAATGCCTACTTACAACGTGAAGACTTTATTCCACTCAGGATTGAGATTTTTGTAGACAGTATGTGTTAGCAGTCTATCGTTGTTCAGTTCTACCACACAAAATGGGTCACTTTTTCCTACAAGAGATTTTTGGTAAATATTTTTAGTGTACATAGCACCCACAGTTCACAGTGTCAAGATCATGACCATATCTCTTTTGCAAAAAGTTTTATAGTAAACAAAAAAGTGAAGTACAATTTTAAAAATTAAAAAAAGAAACCACCATCAAAATAGAGTTAGATGTAACTGGTTGATGTTAGCAATTGTTATGATTCATAGCAATTTAGAGCCTGAAAAAAGTAAAAGAGACAAAATTATATAGCTGGCACTTCAATTTGCAATTTTTTAAAGCAAAAATAATTCTATAACCGGCAATTATGATGGAGAATGTGATGCATGTCCATCCCTAAATCAGTTTTTATAGAAATCTGTAAGAGCCGTTTGAAAAGTTCAGCCCCTTCACTCTAAGGCATATATTTTTTCAACTCATCTGATTCACTATTAACTTGTAACAGGGATTTCTAATCAAATTTATTCAGGAAAAACTACTATATTGCAAAATTATAATATTTTAATTGGACTAAGATTGAGTTACTTTCTTCTGAGATATCTATGACATCACAAGAAGGTAAATTAGACCCTCTGAGGCAGAAAAAAAATCTACCATTTGAAACTAAACATCAACAACCAATATGCATGTTAAAGAGCAGTATTTTTTTTTTTTCTATTCACTGAAAATAAAGGGTTTAGAAATTATCATCTGTTTATAACAACTCTGTCCTGCCATACTCAAATCTCATCCTTTCGGCAATTACATTTTGTGAAGTCCTTAATATTTTTGTAATGTTATGCCCTGTATTATAAGAACCCATAAAGTCAGAGGCTCTATGGGGCCAGCATTAATGATATTAGTGCAGCATGTAATTTGTTTGATACCTTATACAAATGACAATGAAATCAATATTTAGACAAAGCTGTCCAGAGGTCATATCTTTTAAACTACAATATTGATTTAGACTACATAAGAGGTTAATGTGCATATTATTAACTTTAATGATAAAGAATAATTGTTTTAAATGCATTGTGAATTGTAGTCACAGTAGTTTACACTTCTGCAAAAGCTTAAATATCATTGAAGATTTTCTATTAAATTTTAATGGGAAGGAATTCATTAGCTATCAGTGACAGATAAGCTATGTATTCCCATACAGCAGTGTATTTACTTTCCATATTGCAATTCTTAAAATGAGCTGTACAAACTTTGACTCACCTTTAATTTATTAACTTTATATTAAAAAAGAGATTTAATATGTGTGTGTTAGTTCAGTGGCCTTATATGTCCCAGGATAACTGCATAATTTAACATCATGGTAGTCTTCTCAATTTTGGGTCTTGGGAACAATTTTAAATAAAGAATAGAGAACTGGAAGTCTTAAAGGTCTGGTGAAAATTGTACTTCTGGCTTAGGATCTGTATTATCTTTTTTTCCTCCAATCGTCTTTATCCTCTTGCCTACATGTTACCACCCTCACTTTCAACTCACACACCCCATGGAAGATAGTGTTCAAAAAAGAATATTTTGTTCATTAAAACACGTAGCAATAGGTTTTATGTGGCACATCAACAACTTTATTTTCTCCCACGGAATTCAGATATAAGCATAAACAGGCAGATTCAAATAGTTTTCCAAATAGAGTTAAATGTAAGATACTAGGCAACACCTTTCAATATAAGCGTGCCACATCTTAGGTAGGTAGTAGGTCACACGCATAGGAAATGCTGGGTAATGTTTTGACTGTCGGTTCAATCAACTAACAAATATTTATTACTTACCATGTAGCAGGCAGTGTTCTATTTGTTGGGGAAACAGCAGTGAATTAAACAATTTTTTAAAAATCCCTGACTTCATGGAGTTTACATTGAAGAAGAAGACAGACAAGAAATACATTTTATAGTATCTTAGAAGGTGATAAATACTATGGGAAAAAACAAAGATGGGAAAGGTAAAAGGGAGTGTTGGTATGTATATGCAGTTTTTAAAAGGGCTGCAGAGAAAGTCGTGCTAAGACAGTGACATGCAGGCAAAGAAATGAAGGAGGTGAGTCTTGGGTGACCCAGAGGAACCGACAGTGGAAAGACCAGAGAAGTGGCTGTGCCAGGCATTTCCAGGAATATCCAGGAAGCCGGTGTGGCTGGAGGAATGTTCTGGGGAGATTGGACAGGTGGGGGGTTGGAGGGGTGGTAGTAGGTGACACAGACAGGTCTGGAGATAGTGGCAGGTCTCTGAAAAAACTTGGCTTTAACTCTCATTAATGGGGGAGGTTTTGAGGGATTTGATTTGAGGAGTGACATGCTCTGATGGCTGCTATTTGGAAAATAAGGTAGAGAAAGGACAATGGAGGGGTAGGAAGAAGAGTTAGGAGGCAATTGCAATAATCTAGGTGGTGGAACGTGGTTAGATTCTGGATATATTTTGAAGGGAAAATCAACAGGATTTGCAGATGTCAATATTTAATCACCTAATATACCCTCATATTATTATTTGACGCTGAAAAACAATTCACTGAGCTTAGCCAAGTCAGTTCTTTTTTTTTTTTTTCCAAGGAGAATAAGCATTCAACAAGGTGCTCAGACTAGATATTTCTAGAATCTGACAAAGAGGAAAGTTTAGGTTAAGGAGAAAGCAGGCAATTTTATGTTTACTTTTCTATTCATCTTTTCCTTTTAAAAAGTTCTCTTTTTACAGTTATCATTAATGGATGCTAACATCAGGTCTTTCCACACTATGTTATGTTTGACTTATTTAGGAAGTATCCTCCTGTCACTGCATGATTCAAGGGCAATTAAAAATTAACAGCAATTTCAACCAAAATACTAGTAAATGTACAACATCAAATTCTGCAAACTTACCACTAAAAAGCATGGACTATAGTTGTATTTTTAAAAAGTGACTACACATAGTTAATATGCTTATCTGGTTTGCTAAATAATCCTTTAAATGACTGGCTTTTCAGACCTAAATTTTACAGCTTTGATTATCTGCCACTTAAACAAACAAAACCAATCAGAGAAATACTAGTGATGGACCTAACCATTAATTATCTCCTTAATTATTCCTTCCTTTCATCCTTTTATCATTCCATTTAGGCCCTCTGATAGGCTGCTCTGCTTGCTGGGAGTACCTGGGTTGTGGGGTTGATTCTAGGATGAAGTTGATGTCTCTAAAGTGCACTATATTCTGCAAAGTTCCAGACAGTGGTATAAAGAAGTCCTCTGTAATGTTTTTATTCAATACCGTGTGGCTAGAAGTGCAAAGAATGAAGGCAGCATCCAAAGTTGAGGGATATTTTGTTTCTGATAATTTTTGAGAGCCTAAATATATGAGAACACAGATTATATAATCTATTTTTCTCTCTCTCACTCATTTTTGTCACAAGACTAAAGCAGACCAGTGGGTATCAAATGGCTCTTCCTGAAGCCCCATTATTTTGGCTAAAAAGAGTCAATCCCTCTCCCTAGCAATGCTAGAAACTGGAGAATTTGGTTTGGATAGAAAATAGAAATGGTGGCAGTGCTGGTTGAGGGCAGGGGCTGTGGGATTGATTGCTTTAACCACCATGACAGCTAGGAAGGAAATCAGCGTTCCTTGAGGACACGGCAATTTTCCATGTTGACAATTTTCTAGAGAGAAATAGGAATGCTTTTTGAAGCATTCATTACTTATCGAGTGGCTGCTCTGCTCACCCCAGAATTATAAGTATGATTAAGACATAGTCCAGCTCTCAAGGCATGCACAGTTTAGAGGACATGATAGACATGTAAATACACAATTATGAGGCAGAGTTGTAAGGGCTGTAATAAAGGTAAGTGAAGGGTGCAACAGGAGCAAGGAGAAGGAGGCATGCTATTCTATAACTCCAGAACATAAAGAGGGAAAGGAAGCAAAGACTTTTCCAGTGGCTATGACTCTGGTGATCTATGGTGATTGTACAGCTCTATCACAGTGCTTTTAAAAGTGAAGGATAATGACATAAAAAGTAGGCTGACATTTTACGATGAGGAATATTTTGCTTAAATGTATTTGTATATTCCTTTAATAGTCTCTATAATACAAAAACCTAGATATGTGTTACCTAACTACTATAAACTAGATACATAAAAATATTACATGAAGACTCATACTTTTATCCATAATCTAGTTAAATACTAAGGGCTATTTTTTCCTATGGATCTTTGTTTTTTTTTAAATCTCCCATGAGAATTAACACTTGAGAGACTCTTTTACCCTAACTCATAAAACAGAATCTATAACAGAATTTAAAGCATATATTCTATTGTCCCAATCCTTTTTTGGGGGTGAAAAGCCATTTCTACAACAATAAAACAAACATCAGAATTGTCTCCAATGGGCGTCTTTTCTGGCAATCTTCAAAACGGCACCAAGGATTAAATGGGGTGCACTGACTGGCTAATTCTCTCTCACTCTTAGTCCTTGCTCTTTGAGGTCACGACACTGACATATTGATAAAGAACTGTGGGAAAGTCTGTACCGCCCCTGCTCACTTGCTACCTGTTTTGTGGGCAAGTGGATGACTTCAGTTTGTACAAACTACTGGTTTGAGCATTAAAGTGACTCAAAAGATACTGAATGATATTCTTGCTCCCGGAATATAGAGTTAATCCTGATCCATCAGTGGTGGGCTTTGTCCAGGGTCATTTTGCTGCTGACAAGTAGCACAGTTTGCTGGATGTGATGTGTTATAAAAATGTGTGTGTATGGGGACCCAGTGACCACCTCTTTGTTGCCATGTCTGAAAACACAGAAGGCTTTCAATAGCATGGAAAGCAATTCATACCCATGGGGGCCTTTTATTTTGGGCCTACCTTGTACAAATTAAGTTCTTTCATTTAATTTTCTCAGTTGCCACAGTTTGAAATAACTATATTTTAATCCTTTAAAAAATATAATCAAGGTTGCCATCTATCCCTTATAGAAACTGGAATTTCAATCATAACATATAATAATGTTATAGTTGAGGGAATTCCATCGTGTCCACCAGAACAGAAAGCAGCATATGTTGAAGACATCTTCCATCCTCCTTTTATCACTGGAGATGGGGCTTTGGCCTTATCCTTTTCCATCAACTGACCTAAACATATTTTAAACATCTGATTGGTAGAATTATATTAACTCACACTTTAACTAGGTCCCCACTGGGTCTGATTCTGGGACTGAATAATAATAATAAGACTTCTTTTTTTCTCACTGAGTCATGAAGCAGATTTCATTATGGCAAGAAAATTGACACCCTAGAGTTGTGGCTTTCAACCTACTAGATCTAATACTTTTTTTTCATATTGAAGATTTTGTAATGTCCTTTTTACTATCCTGGAATAAAACTGACTGACACACAATTTCAAATTTTAATATAATACCAGAACTGTATTATAAAGGAGGACTAAATAGAAAGTTGTTTACAATAAAATCATACATTGACTTATTCAACAAATATTTATTGAGTGCTTATTATGTGCCAGGCCATATGAACAGAAAAGGGAAATGTGTCTGCTGTCTTCAAATTTACTTATAGTGGGAATGGAGGAGAAAGAGAATAAATACCGAACATGGTTACTAGATATATTGTATGTTAGAGAGTGCTACGTGTTAATTAAAAAAAACAGGTAAAAATAGAGTAAGAAAAGGGGTTTGGAGAGGGTAGAGGAGGGGCACTGCTTATAGATTTAATTGGGGTGGTCAGAATGGGCCTCATTGAGAAGGTGAGGTCTGAGCAAAGAACTGAAGGGGGTAAAGGAGTAGCCAAGTAGAAAAGTGGAGAAAAGTAGAGAAACACTTCTGGAGAAAAGTGATCCAGGTAGAGAAAGAGCTAGACCAAAAGCCTGCTGTGCTTGAGGCCTCTGATACTGGGGCAGGGTGTGCAATGGGAAGGTTAGTAGAAGATGTCAGAGAAGTAATGGGGAATAAGGTAATTAAGTGCCTTGGACACCATCTTAAGGTCTTTGGTGTATACTGTGTGAAATGGCAGCCATTTGCAAGGCTTGAATCAATAATAGTATGTATTTCAGGATGCAATCTAGGCTTAGACAATCATGAAACAGATTTTAAACGTAAATCAATAGCTATATTTAAATGCAGGATTAAATTTTCATTATGTAAATTTTCATTATGCAGGACATTTAGCATCCCCAACCCCAGCTACCAAACACCAGTATGCTCCCCAGTCATTATGGCAACTAAAATTCCCTCAAAAATCTCCAAACACCCACTGGGGCAATACTACCCTCCTCCTAATTGATAATCATTGTCTAACAGCAATAATTCTTAAACATTTTGATCTTAGGAACTCTTAAAAATTATTGAGGATCTCAAACAGTTTTTATGTGGGCTATATCTATCAAAATGTACCCATGTTAGAAATGAAAACATTAAAAATATTTATTAATTCACTAGAAATAATAAATCCATGACCTGTTAACATTGGAGTAATCAAAGATTATGTAGCCCTTGGAAAACTCCATTGTACACTCATGAAAGAATAAGAATAAAAAAGGCAAATAATATATTAGTATTATTATGAAGATAGTTTTGGCTTCAGAGATCCCTGAACGGGTCTTGGGGATCCCCAGAGGTTCCTGAACCACACCCTGAGACCCAAAGCTAATGGAAATAGGTAAAGCTCAATGTAAATATGAATTTATTTCCCCTGGGATATAGAACTATCTGCAAAAGAATATTTACAGAATTGTGTGTAACTAGATGCATTCTTGAGTCTTGGAATTGAACCATATTGATATATGTTGGGAAGCTCAAAATTTATGACAGAAGAATAAGAAGGGAAAGGAGACAGATGAGAAACTGGAAAAGAAAGAGGAAGGAGACTATGGGACCTATAAAATGAGAAGAGGCCGTGAGAAAATTATGCCTAAGCTTTTAACAGCTTAGATAAATTATGGTAAGAACATTTAAATACTTCATTTTCAATTCATATTTAATATAGAAACTATATGCAAGTGATTCGTTACAAGCTTAGAAACACAAAAGTTGTTTGGTCTAAAATGAGAATAAAAATACATTAGAAGTTCCTTTGTTTTTGCAAGGCTTGTTAGATACTTTAGGACTTATAGTAAATATATACTCAATTAGACCTTCCTGCAGAAAAGCATGAGGCTTCAGATAAGCTTTCCTATAAGTAAACTAATTAGCTGGAGAGACCTTTTGCAGTGAAATAACTTTTTTATGCTTAAAAAAATTAAGTCCTCTATTAGGTGATTAAACATTTTAAATACATTTTTAAAAACCAATTAAAGGCAATAACTGAAAATTGTCATCTGTTAAGTCTTTGCCTTTAGAATAACGTCTTTGTCTCTTTATTCCTCTTTTACAAAATATCTCATCCAGGAATCTGTTATTTATCTTGGTAACTGCTACAGTATCTTAGAATCTGAAGGCTTGGAAATAAATCTTAGAGGTCAAGTTCAAAACTTCATCCAGGGCTTGCATCATCTCTGCAACCAGGTGGTCCTTCAGGCTCTGCTTCGAAAGTTTTAGTAATGTGGAAATCATTACTTCTACAAGAATCTTTGGATCTATTTTTTGTTGGCAAATGTAATTTGTGGAAAATGTTTCTTCACGTCATGTATAAAATTATGTCTCTGTAGCTTTTTATCTATTCTATAATTTGCCTTCTGTAGTAATTAGAAAATCTTAATGAAATGATAGGCATGAAGGGAGGGTACAGCATCTATCACATAGGGAATATGTGATCAATGTTCATTATCTGCTGTCCTCTGCTGGACACTGTGGATGGCTTGCTGAGCATCCATTCCAACTATTTGCTAGTGTCTCTTCCTGATCTATAGAGGATATTAAGCCTAAAGTGACATTTCTAGATTCTCTTGCAGCTAGAGATGTAGATGTGATTTAGGTTGCATGAATCAGATGTTCTTGCCTAAGACTTGATATTAGAATTCAATTAAGTGAGAGCACGTGGAGTTAATTTTACTGCTGCAGACTGCAAGCAGGGGTCATGTATCAGTTGTCACAGTGTCTTCTCAACTCGTTAATGTCAACAACTCCTTGGTTCTGCCATGTGGCTTTAGTACTAACCTCCAGAGACTGAACTTAGAGTCTCTTTTCTTAGGCCCTTCCTGCCCCCCAAAGATTCTGTGATTTAGTTAATATTTTATTATAAATCCCCTTCTGATTAAATTTTCTAGAAGGAAGTTTGCTCTTTGGACCTAAACCTTGGCCATTAACCCTCCTTGCTAGCTCTTATCTACATTCTCCTCATGACAAGCCTTTGGATAATTGATAAAAGAAATCATATGTTCTCAAGTTCTTCTTTTCTCCAGTACAAATATGTCGGTGGCTTTTGTGGAAAGATCTAGATCAGCATGCCTGCCCTGCCATTTACAAGCTGGTGTGTGTGTGTGTGTTGATCGTGGAAGAGTTACCTAACTTCTCCATGCCTCTTCAGTTTTCCAAATTATAAAGTGGGAATAACAATAGTCCCTAATAAGGTTGTTGTGAGATTAGTCATATATGATAATTCTTGCACCAAGCTCAGGTTAGTGGCTGACATGTGATCAGGGCTCAGTAAATGTTAGTTGTCATTATTATTGTTATTATTGTCATTCCAGCACTATTCTCAATTGACGTGATTTTAAAACGCCAGATATACCAGTTGAAAATATATTCTGGTTAGTCAATGTCCTTCTTTAAAGAGTATTCACAAACTGGATTCATACCCCAGCATATTTGATGAGTCCACTCTCAACATTTCACCTTTATTCAATGTAACAGAACTGATGTATGTATAATTTACTCTCATGGAGTTTAAACTCAACTCAAATCCTAAAGTCTTTTCTTTATTCTCTATGGTTAAAGCAAGATATCACAGTTTAGTACCCAGGAAAGACTTTGGATTTATACTTTTTAATGTTCATCTTGTTGAATTAAGCCTATTATTTGTCTGTAGTATAGGATTGTATACATATACTGGTCTCACATAAAATGAATTAAGTAGCCCTCCTAGCAACTTTGATAAGGAAGCAGTCAATTACCTCCTCAAAGTAATTAGTAAACACATTGAACAGCTTAGACCAAGGACAGAGCCCTGTAACCCACTTGGCATCCCCAGTGACATCAATCCTTTAATAATTACTCTTTAGGCTTGACTATTTAGTCATTCACGAGTCCAACTATACTATCGTTTAACCCAAGTATCTCTGTAGTAAGTTTTTTTTTTTCAAAAAATCTAGTTAAATCTAGATCCTCTCTATTTGTAGCATTTCCTTGATCCGTTGTTCTAGAAAATACATCACTTATTTGCACAATTATGTTGCAATGTAACAAAATATTTTTTAAGTTTAATTTTAAACAATGATTCTAGCATCATGAAGGTATTTCTTCAAGCACTGAGTGAAATCCTAGAGCTAGCCCTCTGAGCCAAATCAGCAATTTGCTATTTCTTTACTCAAAGGATCATTTTGTAATCTTTGTTCTACAGAACCTGATTAATTATTTTATAGTATTTCTCTTTCCCTCATTTCCCATTGATAGTGGGACCACCACTTTCTCAGCCCATAGTCCTTCACCTCTAGTGCATATCAAACCCAATTATTAATCTCTTTTGTCATCCCACCTATTCTTCCAGGGCAGTATCTTCTAACCATGTGACCTGCATATGAATCACACATGATTTCTGTAATTCTCTTTAAAACACTGTCTCAGATTCAGGCCTCATCAGCCCTTGTGCTAAATTATCATTTTCATTCCTCTTTTTGGAGATATTTGATAACAACTCTTTGGTTTTAGAAGAACACTTTTCCTATAATTAGAATTTGGCTAGGTTTTAAAAATGCAATTACTAAAGAAAGTAAGTTTTATTTGTATGTAAGATGTGGTGACATAAAAGAAGGAAGAACAATGATTTGCTTTCTTTCCCTGTGATATTTTTATTTGTTTAGGCTCATTCTTAAGGAAAAGATTTATATAGTATTAATACATTTATCATGTACATGTATATAATATTGTTTTCTAAACCAGGTATATTACCGTGATAAGAACAGCAGGTGTTGTATATTTCTGATGCATTATAAATTGGATAAAATGTCTTCTCATGGTACACTATCTGCTTAAAAGTCTTCTATGAGCATAATTATTAAAAAGCAAATGGAACATTAGCTTATATAATGGGAATAAAGCATACTTTCCTTGAGGAATGTCCTATATATTCTGTGTTAAAGCTTAGGATTTTTGTTTCAAGCAATATAATTTTCAGATGTTAAGATAGTAAAGTTAAGAAACTATGACTATTTGCACATCCTCTCTTTTATTTGGTAGATTATTTTATCCCTGATAATATACCAAGATGAAGGACTTCCACTACATTTTATACAGTTCTTTGAATGAAATTACGTAGAACTTAAAGGATTTATATTTTATCTTCTTCCAACATAAATTTTAAAGAATGATGGTAATATCTAAGGCTGCATTTATCAGACATCGTTGATTTTATTAAATATGATGATGACAATTAAAGGCACATGCTATTAATTCAAACTGCTACAATCCTATTTTAAAAAGCAACTTAGCAACTTCTTCCAATTGAGCAATTGTTTTCTACAGGGCACTTGAAGTAACAACTGCATATGTCTTAAGCTATTTGCTAGCGTAACCCACCAAAAGTTAATTTTTTTAAAAGGACAATATCTTGTCTATGTCATGTATATGTGCTTGGTATTTCTCCAACTGTATATAAAACTTTCAAAGATCAGACTTGCCTTTTTCTGTACAGCTGCCTTTTCATTTTCTTTCTCTGAATAGACCCATAATGTTCAGGGAAAATATCAAGAATAATAAATCCAAATCTTTGTATAAAATATACCTTCATGACACACTCAAGCTGGAAATCACAGGAACCAATAAAAATGCAGGCAGCCTCCTGATAATGAGGTCAGAAATACAAATAAATTTACTTTTAATGAAGACTGGAGGCACAGTAATCAAAGTGTTAAAATTCATTTCATGCATATCTCATTTGCTTCTTAGCTGATATTTACCACGCAATTCTGTGAGAAAGTAGAGGCCTAAGATGCTCCAGATAAATGGCTCAATTAATTGTACAGAGGTAGACCTCTTTGAGCTGAGCCAGAGCTGTGAGCTCTTTATTAAAAGCACTATTCTGTAGCCCATAACCTTGTTCCTTGACTCCTCTCTGGTTTCCAATTTAAACAAGTCCCCATGCGGCCTGCTCTAAAGGGCTTTGTCTCCCTGTCATTGTTAAGAGAGCTGAGGCATCCTGGAAGTGTGAAATCAGACCTCATGAGTTGAACGGTTCCCCAGGGAACGCCGGACTGCGCAGAAGGTCAAAGTCATGGGCCGGACCATCTAAAAGTGTCTGATCGCCGGTCTGTGACACAGCAAGTTGGGGGTGGGGGCTGGGGGGGCGGGAGCTAGACTGAAGAGGACTGAAATTGAACACATCTTAATTAAAGCCCACAGACAGCAAAACAAAATGTTTTCTAGGCAGCCTGTCAAATGGGGCTTAAATTTAGCTCTGCTAATGAATCTGAGCTGCTAACTGTTATTTCTTAAGATAATAAGACTCTCACGGAAGCTGATAAAAAAACTGTAGCATGTCTTTTTCTGCTGTTTTGTTACTTAAATATTTTCCAACAATGAAGACAGTTTTCCAAAAGAAAAACATGGGAAAAGTCTATGCAAATAAAGGGGTAGTAAACATCTCTCTTAATAACTAGTAGGTTTCCAGACTACGGGGCTGGCAAGTCACAAGTCTTTATGCATAGCCTTGTTTTAGAAAAAGATACACTTATTTAATGGGACTATTTCAGTGACACATTCTATTAATTGTAAAATTCTCTCTCTCTCCCCCTTTTTCTCTTCCTCTCCCTCTATTGTTTCCTGAAGGAGATGGTGCATTAATTTGAGAGATCAATTCACCTGGGGTGGAGAAGTTTTATATTAGTGTACCTTTCAGTACAGTGAAAAGGTAGGACATCTTTTGAAGGGTTTCACAGTTCTCCCATGTCGCTGTTTCTGAAACTGAGTGGCTGGTCTCCCTGGGGAAGCTATGACCTCTTCCTTAGGAGCTCAGAAAAAAAAAAAAAACAGAGAGAAAGAGAGAGAGAACCCAGGGGAAAATGAAATGAAGGGGAGGGGCGGAGGAGAAGAACTCTTTTCTCCTTCTCCTCTTAGAACTTGAAAGAACCAATAGGCCAGGTCTAAATACTCTGCAAAGAAAGCCTCACTCAATATAGGAGACTTGGAATGTTCTGTTGAGGCAAAAATTAGGCCCTGCTCAAGGGAAAGAATAATCATAAGCTAAAAAAGACATATGATAATATGAACTATTTCCTACCACCCAAAGAAAAAATATTTTCCCGCCACCCACCCCACCCCACCCCGCTGGCCTTTCCTCACAACGTGTAGAGTTTTAAGGAAAACTTGATCTAGCTGCAGAGAGAATGTTCCCCAGTGAACGCGGGGCCAGACAGTCTCTAGGTCTTGCTTTGATGGTGTGGAGAGACATTAACCTTTTCACTGGTTAGTTGAAAGGTAAGTAAGTTGTACTGAGAGGTATTTTTCAGTGACTCAAATTTTTTCCCTTACGAAGAATTTAGCTGACCAACTTTTCAAACCAGAGTGCCACTTTCTCAGGCTGTGAAAAGCTGCCCACAATTTGACTGAAATTTCAATCCACTCTTGTGCCTTGCTCAATGCATGTGTATGTGTGGGAGTTGTAAATTGAGGCCTTAACCACCAGAGTTAATCTCTTTTTTAAATCTGTATTAACCTTAATGATTTGAAGTGCACTGTCCAACACTGGGCTATTGAGACCGAAGAAAAAACTACCCTCGACTATCAACAGTTTATTAGGGGCTTAACTGAAGTGACCTACTGTAGTAGTGTTCAGCTGAACAAGGCTATAGGCTTTTTGTGGAAAGGGAAAGAATTGAGGGTTTCATTAAAAAGTAATTTGTGCTTTATACTCACTCATTCAAAGAGAGTCTCAATTGCTCTTTATTCACACAGAGTTAATACAGTATCACAATGTTTCTCAATGAATGTGTTGTAACAAAAGAAAAATTTTACATTTTGAAAGGGAAAAATTCTTTGTAACTGTAGTAAGATTGATGGCTACTTAAAAGACTATAGAATCTTTCTTTCCTGTGCTCATGTCTAATGATGGAATATTATAATTTAACATTTTTTGCTGAAACAATGGGAGTTTAACTTTATGTTCAGATCATTAAAAATATCAAAAAAACAGAGCCAAGTTGTTCAAATATAGATTTGTCTCGTTAGACTTATTTAGAAAAAGTGTTCTGAAATCAACCGTGTATCTTACAGTAACAGGCTCATTTGTACCATGTTAGAAAATATTCTTGCCTTAGCACAGACAGTTACCAGTGATTTAAAAACTCCCCTCTACATCGACAAAATTCCTAAATGGACGCTAAGTTGAGGATTTGAAGACAGCGCTAGTCAATTGCCTCTTTTCAAACTATTGCCTAATAACTTGTAGAGGCTGACTGTTATTATCCACTGAGACGCACATCATATCTTTAAAGTTCTTTGAACAAGTAAAAGAGAAAGCAGACAAAGAACTTACTTGTGTCCCAAATTTAATGACAAAGACAAGGAAGCATCAGGATACATGTGTGCGTGTGTGTGTGTGTATATATAAAGTATCCTTTTCAAAAGTAAAAATTATTTTTAAAATTGGTAGTATATTCAGACATTTCTGACTCAAATATATAGTCTTTCAATTTTTGCCACCATCACAAATGTCATAAAGACCACAGAAGGTCCAAGAGTGAGCAAGGTCAAAGACTGAATTATCTTTTTGCCCCTGAATAGTTCAACATCTCTCTTGTTCAATTCAGAGCACATTAGATTATAAGGTCAGCGTGAAATGGGGAATCATTAGATTTATATCTCTAAAAGTGGAGGAAAAAAATGGAGACTCTGTTATTTAGTATTCCCCAAATTAATGTTCATTTTATCAAATGAAAATTATGTCTCATTGAATCCCCAGGGAAAAGGCTATTGTTATTCACATCAATTTACATAGAACCATTAGGAGAGAAATATCTCTATTTTTTTCCAGCTTTGAGAGAACATGTATTTTAACTTCCATAGTGGCACACAGGCCAACTGGGTTAATCTAGTTTGCATATTCATGAAGTTTGAAAATCAATGACAGCTTCTCTCCAAAGAAGACAAACTTATACAATTCTATCCAATTATATAATGGGCAGGTATCTAAGCTTTTGAAATAAATGGTACTTGCATTTTTCTAAAAGAAATGATTGTGCCAGATTAATTTGATTATAATCATACTAGAAAGAAATTTCATAAGTAGGAACATGTATATACATTTTACATTAATTGTTTTATACAAGGAGCCAAATTAGCATATATGCAAATATTACAAACTACCCACTCTCCCATTTTCAGGTATTCCTGTTTTGAAAAAATATGTGACAACTGTTATCATCTTCTTGGTTACAAATGAGTTGATAATTACCTTTTTAAAGGAACTGTAAACTAATATTTTAAATTTTCTCACACATGGTCACTTAATAGGCAAATATTAAAATATAAAAATATTGCAGTTTTGGAACAAACATCTGCTATTTTTCATTTGAAGGCATGTTACCTTTTAATTTGCTTTTGATTCTGTTGAATGAATTAAAGAAGTGCACAGTGATTTCAGGTCCTTGGATGGTAGAAAAAGCACATTTCTTCCCTTGAAATAAGTTTGTTACCTCATTAGGATTATCTGGCTGAATGTTCAAAATGGTAAGCATATTTCCAGAATGATAAGTTGATATTTTCTTTCAGAAACAGTGAAATTTGCACAAATGGTCAAGCCAGTCCTATTTATTGTCTAACTTGAGATGGATAATTTAAGGAACAGTATAAGCATCCCCCAAATCCTTATGAAATTAAATCATAAATGAATGGTCACATTGTTATAAATTCAAAATAATGATTTAATTCTGGAAATTGATGGAATAATTGCCATCAGCCTGTTTGTTAATATGTTACAGAAATAGTATTATGCAAATCAGGAAGCTTTAAGAGACAAAACTAATGTGGACATTTGTACAGCCTTGTTTCCTACTTTAAGAAATTTCAAACAATCTAGAGACTTAGTTTAGATCCAAAATTATCTCTGGGATGTGCCAGGGAATTTGGGTGACTAATGAGTTGGATCAGCAACCCAAATATCAAGAGTTGATACCAAGTTATTGAGTATTATGCACCTAAAATTTTCAGCAAAATGTGCAACAGATTTCATGCATGTTTGAATTATAAGTGTTGATGCTATGAGGGAAGCTGATTCTGTAAAGCATTGGTTCAATACCTGGAAATAACAATATCTGGAAGACGTATTCCTACTACATTGATTAAACTTCGAAGAAGGCAACAATTCAAAAGTCATTTTGTTTTTTAGTGTTTATTTTTAATACATTACCCTGCCTTTAAAAAGCAGAGATACTATAAAAATCAGGGGGTTGGCAAATATTTCTAAGATCATCCCTGAATCTTTAAATTATTTATTTTGATGATCCATCAGGTGAAATGCAAAGTTGAATTATTAAATGGTGTAGACCTTGTGTGCTGCTTGATCTGAGCAATAGGAGAATTGCATCATCTCTTACCAGTGACGTCGGCAGCCATTAACCCTTCCGCTCTGATGACTTTCACCTGGAGAAATCCCACATCTTTCAGGTTGTGAAATATCCTCAATGGGCTCTGAAAGACCCCAACATCAGTATTAGAAAAGGGAGGTCCCAAGGAGTCTTAAAGAGTGTGCTGAGAAAACATTACATTTTTTAGTTTATCTTCAGACTCTGGGGGTAAGAAGATCAACATTAAACTAACTAATTTTTTTTTTTACTGTTTTCCTCTTGGTGAGTTTTGGAAATTGCATGTGCTAGCTGAGGATTAAATTACCTAAACATTGTTTTCTCGTATTTATTTCAAAAGACTTATGCAATTCTACATAAGAACTTAAGTAGTTTTACATAAGCAAAATACATACAGTATCTTTTAAAATAAATCAAATTGATGACTAAAAATAAATTCAGGCCGGGAGCAGTGGCTTACACCTGTAATCCCAGCACTTTGGGAAGCTGAGGTGGGTGGATCACAAGGTCAGGAGTTCAAGACCAGCTTGGCCAAGATGATGAAACCCCATCTCTACCAAAAATACAAAAAAAATTAGCCAGGCGTGGTGGCGGGCACCTGTAATCCCAGCTACTCTGGAGGCTGAAGCAGAGAATTGCTTGAACCCGGGAGGCAGAGGTTGCAGTGAGCCAAGATCGCGCCACTGCACTCCAGCCTGGGTGACAGGGCAAGACTCCAACTCAAAAAAATAAATTCAAAATAGTGAGTAATTTTTCTTAAATTTATAGTTTTATTTGCCATTTTAGTATGTATAGAATGGAAACGTTGATGCTGCATAAGGGGTTCAAAGGGTCATTTGTGTTTCTTCAGTATAAATTACCCTTCCACCCTCATGAATGTACACCACACACACACACACACACACACACACACACACCCCTCTATGTGGATAATTGTTGCTATATAAGTAGATTTTCTGAAAGAATAAAAAAAACACATTTAATCCCATAAATAATTATCAATAAATGTTGAACAATAAATTATGGAATAGATATGTCTGCTTCCTTTTTCAATCTCCTCTAGCCAGCAAACCACTCCAAGAAAAATTTTCATCTGTAGATATAATGGTTTGGAGATTAGTGGCTTTTTTAAAATTTATTTTTATTTTTATTTTTTTAGAGACAGGGTCTAACTCAGGTTGGAGTGCAGTAGCATGATAATAGCTTACTGTAACTTCCAAATCCTGGGCTCAAGCATTCCTTCCACCTCAGCCTCCTGAGTGGCTAGAACTACCGGCATGTGCAACCATACTTGGTTAACTTAAAAAAAAATTAAAATTCTGTAGAAAAATGTCCTGTTATGTTACCCAGGATAGTCTCTGATTCCTGGCCTCAAGTGATCCTCCAGCCTTGGCTCCCAAAGTGTTGGGATTACAGGCATGAACCACCACTTTCAGCCTAATTATCAATATTAAATCTCACATTGTTGGATATATAACACTCTTCAGACTTTGGGGATAAGAAGATCAACATTAAACTAATTATTTTTTTCTACTATTTTCCTCTTGGTGAGTTTTGGAAATTGCATGGGTTAGATGAGGATTAAATTACCTAAAGACTATTTTCTAGTATTTATTTCAAAAGACTACTGTAGTTCTACATAAGTAAAAGACATACACAATCTTTTACAGTCAATCAAATTGATGACTAAAAATAAATTCAAAAGTGGAAATTTTTCTTAAATTTACAGTTTTATTTGCTATTTTAGTATGCACAGAAGTATTGAAACTTCAATAGAAAAAACAGATCCAAATGATAAAATCTATTTCACTTCATAAATTAATAATGGTGGTGTTTTATAAGTGTAGCACTTGAAGGAATTAAAAGAGGGAAACCAATACAATAATTCAGAAGTCTAATTAATGGGCACAAATACTTTGAGAGTAAAATGAACCAACAGAATGCTAATATGCATTTGTTTATTTACACTTCATAGCATTTTTCTTATGACACGATCAGCACTTCTACTCTGTAAATCAAAGGTACTTCTTTTTCATAATTTATAAAATGTTTCATAACCAGAGAACGTAACATACTTTTGCATTATAAAGTTATTAAAATGTTACTAGAGTAAAAAGCATTCCCATCATCATATTAATAATGTGAGAATACTGACAAGCAAAAGCTTACTGCAATATGAACTTTATCAGTCCCGTATGACCAGTAATTGTTTACACTGAAACTATGACCTTCGTATATTGAGAGGAGGAAATGCGGATACATGAGTAATCTCATAGCCTAACTTTTTATAAGAGTGTTTAGCATGAGGATTAACTGTTAATCTTTTATTGTTTTTAAACAGTTGTTTATCACCAAAAATCTATTTAAAATACCCAGGTGACAAGGTTCAGTAAAAATGCACTTCTCTCTCCATTTAAATTCCTGTAAATGAAGGGTTTCACTGTGGGGGCGTTAGACAACAGAATATAATTCAGAGGTTTGTGGGCACGTTGTGTTCCTACAGTAACAGCAAGTTTGGAAAGTTTCTTATCTCAGAGCTTACACAATGTTGTAAATCAGGTAAGTCTTCGACCCTAATGATGGGGAATAGTTTTATCAAAAAAAGGTTTCCGTGCTTTAATTTTCAGAGGCAATTTAAATCAAGTTCTATTTTGACTAAGACGAATATAATCAGTCCTTATGTCTGAGAATCCTTTCACATTGGTAGCCTCATTCCACAGACATATTGTCTTCAGGTGCTTCGGCTCTGATCCTCTGCTTCCCATTTGGAGTGGTAATTATTGTTTGAAGGTTTCATTTCCCCAAGTCAGCTGACACTCCATAATTTATTGCAAATTTCAACGGTTTAGGCCAGTGACACATCGATTATAATAAGAAGTAAAAATAAATAAATAAATAAATAAATAAATAAATAAATAAATATATTGGTTTAAAAACATAACTTCATCAAGAGGTATTCATCAAGAGGTATTCCTGCCTTGCTATTTACGGTTATTTTAGAAGGCCTAAAAACCCGGATGGCTTCTGAAGCCAGAAATTTCCATAGCAGAGGAATCTATGATTTGCTGTGAATCCTTTCAGCCCTCAATAGATGGGAAAAGATTGAAATGCTCTGGAGAGGAGTCCTCTTTATTTTTTTAATGAAAGGCTGTATAATATATTTTCTCTATGGCTGCAGCAGCTGTCAGGGAGAGCATCTCAGTTCAGCTCTATTACGGGAGAGGCAATACCCCATCCTATGGCATCGAGATGCTCTGAGGGGCCAGAGCTGATTGACAGCTTGTCACCGTGACGTCTTATTCCATCTCTGTTATGGAGAAAATTAATGTCACACCACCAGCCTTATGACTCGCTGTCATCTTAGAACCGCTCACCTTTTATCAATGCTCTAAATAACATTTCAAGCCCATCGTCTCACGGTGGACAATCCGGTCAAGGGACATTAAATCAGATGACTGTGAAATGTCATAATAAAAATGGAATGCTAACAACTTCTTCTCTAAACTAGCTCCTCTGGTTTTTAAACTGTGACAAGGGGGAGCAAGGGTTCAGCATACCCGTTCTGAAAAGGTCATACAATTGCTCTTGGTCTACTACCCATTACTACCCGCCCCCTATTGACCTTCCCTCATTTCCTCCCCCTAAAAGAGGAAAAAAGAAAAATGGAATTAGCCATCTTCTCAGAATGTGGTGATCAAAAAATGGCTCACAGAGCGATGTTTGTTTAATTTGTGGGGCTTCAATCCTTAGCAATGAACAGCTAAACAACAGCAATGGAGGGCTTTTTTTAGGGCTGTTTCATATCAGAGTGGGGGCAATTTATTTGCTTCCCTGACAGTGACCAATGTCAAATTCCTAAATTTGACCTCAACTTTTAAAAATACACATGTTCTTGCAGGAAAATATAGAAATAATTCTCCAAACAACCTCCATTATATGTTTCTCCAAAACAAATGATATTTCAGAAATGATATGGCATTCATTCATTCATTTCATGATCCTTATAATAAAAGGGAAACACACTGAAATCCTAATCCATAGGTCTTTGTCCTTTTATGGATATGAGTAAATATAACAGATGTGCTATGTTGCATATAGTGGTTTCGTAGCAGGTATGTCTCTAGAGGGAGGTATAGGCCTCTGCCTGAAATTCAAGGCTGAAAAAAAGTATATTTAAACATAGTTCATTTTTGAATATATTGAGCAGAATACAATCTGAGAATTAAGTCAAACATCCGCATAATATTTTACATTTTATTGAAAAAAGACATGGAAACAAATATTCAAATTCTGAATGGAAATGGCCAATTGCCATTCAGCCATCCAGCAAAAAGAAAAAAAATTAATAATAGGTGGATTACTTCTAATTACTTAGGCAGCAGTATCCCTTAATATACGGGATAATATCAAAATATTAATCCATCAACTATAGTATAATGCCTAGAAGAATTTTTATATTAATATACTGATTAATTCCATTAAAATTGTTGTAATTCATGAGGCTCACTTCTGGTAACAGAAGAATATATTTTGGTGGATACCACAGTGTAAAATAATCTTCATAACTGCAATTATATATTAGAAGATGTCACACAATATCTTAGGCTCTTAGGTGGTTTAAAAATATATACTATTTAGCCTTGCTAAGTCACCTCTATTAAACTGTTTATGATAACACCATTGGTGGATGAGTTGTACAAGCATTAGCAGACAGCTGATTCAGTGGAGATAGCCAGAATAAATTTGCTGAAGCGCACATCCTGCTAATCTGTTTGAAGAATATTGTAGAGCATTAGTACCAGCACTTCATGTTATCTGCACAGACTGATAAGGTACATCTTTATTAAATTCAGTTATTGAAAGGATGTCAGTCAGCAAATAGGAATATTTTAAAGTCTAAAAAAAAAGTGGTTCTTTGTTAGAGCTTGGTTTCATGGCTGAGTGTCTAGAGGAGCCTTCTAAACACCTGGCGGCACTGTACAATACAAGCTTTGTCATTTTAAGTGGAAAAGCTTTTTTCCCAGCTTCATGGGTACTAAGGCATTTACTTTTTCAAACCTTCATTGAGAGAGAATGGTGGAGTAAGAGCTCCCCTCTCTGTTGATTCAAGAAAACTACATGGTGGGAAATGTCCAGCGGGAGGATGCTGGGAAATAGTAAGATTTGGTTGTGAATATTTCAGTTAGGTAAAATTTGAAGAGGGTAGTCATTTTAGTGATTCACTATTCCATACTATCGTTCCACATTCGATCAAAAAGCAGAAGACTTCCTTTAATTCTATTTCACATTCAATTAAAAAAATTAAAGGAATGAAGTGAGGCTTTCCTGAGCAGCTGAAAATAAAAATCATTCCTGTGGATACTCTTTAGTTACCAGCGTACTAATTAACGTAAGTACCATTAACTCCATCGCAAACTTGGAAAGACAAAGACATTTTAATTGCAGCTACAAAGAATCAATAAATTAATTTTAAAGTCACATTGTATAAACCTGGCCTTCCTATATGGGTAGCATCCCTGCATGATAAAATCACTGAGTAGAATCTCAGAATCCAGAATTTGCTCTGGAAGAGAATCTAGAGAAGATCAAGTCTCTAGACATGGGTGGGTAATGCAAATACTTCGGCAAAGGTCTGTGTGGCATTTGTTTTCACTCAGCTTTTTACTTGTGCCAATTCTTCCACCAGACAACTTCTCAGAAGTACTTCTGTCCCTCCAGGTAAATTGTTTACAACCTGATCTAGTCACATGTGTCTCTGGAAGGAGGAGGGTTACATACGTACATATCTCTTTAATATCTCCTCTCGTTCCTTCTGGTCCTCCAGGGAGTTGACAGACAGGTCAGAGATGCTGACTGTGGCTGATGCTGTCAGAGTGACCAGCAGCACCAGGTGTCCCTCACCCTCTTCCAGCTGCAACTCCAGCTTGTGCGTCTGTTCCCTACTGAGGGCTGACAGGTCGACCTGGCACCTAGAGACAAATGTTTTGAATCAGCAAGTGGCTTTTTTTTTTTTTTTGCCATATCAAACAGCTGTTCAGAGTTCTATGAAACATAAATCAATAGAAATATTATTTGGACCATTGGAAGAATACATCTTTCAAGTCAGCTGACTTTCTTCACAAAATTCAGACCCTCATTATCGTAGGGTCTGTAACTGTTTATTTCCTGTAAGATACAAAAAAATATGTTAATCTGAAATTCTATTATTACCCACTGTCACGGTATTCATAAAGTGGTAAGGACTTCCTATCTCTAGGTGGCCTAAGGAATTAGGTCACTGGGGCTTTGCTTATAGAAAAAATGATGTGTGCCATCTAGAGAGACCAACTACCAAAATTCTGAATTTTTGTGTTACCTTTAAAAAATGGATGTTTTCCCCTCATTCGTAAATGTTATTAAGCAGTGAATAGAATATGTACCATTGTGATGCCATACATTTTACATTTTTTAAAACCATGCCAATATATTCATAGTACTCTGTATAAACCGAAATAAAAACATATAAATCTCCTGAAAACATAATAGCTCAAGTGTTAGGCACCTGAGTTGTGCTAAGAGGGGATTTCTAATGTGGCAGTGCCTGCTCTGTATGCCACTCTCTCAGAGCTAATACCCTGAAAACGCTTTTCATAAAAATGTCAGTTGATTTTGAAGAGAAAGGTAATATGGTGACCACAAGGCTAATAAACGGAGAGAAAGGTGGCAGGCATGAGTGAAAGGCATTTAAAATAGGAAATAGCCAATTATAAGAATAAATGTGGTAACCTACCATAAACTGCGTGGTCAGAGACAGATTAAATTCTTGCTCTTTCTTATTCCTCACTCTATTTGGTATTTATGGTTTTGCTTTTAAACTAAACTCCTATGGACAGTGTTTCAAAGCTTGTAGTTGAGTTCAAACATCTCTTTAGCAAGAGTGATTGCAGATATTGAACTGAAGTCCAATATTTCAATAGGCCTTTTATTTTTGCCTACTGGTTAATATGAGGGATGTCTGGGACTAGACACGAATGGGAGGAAGAGGAATATTGATGTAAGAAAGGAAAACAATAAGCAATGCCCTGGTCAGTAGCAGAAAGTCCGTGTGTACTTAAATGCTAACTCCTGAGAAATTGAGAGATTACAGTCTGTACAAGTCTGGAAAACATCTTCCTGAAGTTAGAATGTATGTCAAATAACTGCATTCCAAGGTACTCTCATGCTGTCTCCTCAAACTCTGAAGGGTGAAAAAACATATCACATCCCTTATCTCATATTTAAATTTTAATTGGAATTAAGTTCTTATCAATAATACCTGGAACAAACTGAGGTTAAAAATTTTCACAGTGGAAAACAACCATTCAAACATATTCTCTAATGAAAAAAAAGGTATTATCTTTAGAGATCTTTCCAGCACCTGACACACTGCTGGGCCCATAGTTTGTTGAATGCAAATAACTCTGGCTTGGATAGGGAGTATAATACTAGAGAATTGACGAGAGACTATAATTCAGACAATATTTTTGGTTGGGTACAGTTGGAACCAAGAAAAGTCTTTCACTCACTTTTTTTTTTCTTTTTTTTCCCACTCACTTTGATCATGCATTTCCCGGTCCCTTCCTTTTTTATATAATGCTGCAGCACTAAAACGCATTGATGTCTTCTGAAGGATTTTCTTCTATGCCCATTACCACTTTGTACTGATCATATAGATGCTGGTTCCTCTTAATTTATATTAGTCATTGCATTTAATGCTTTACAGGTGGGGAAACTGCTCTCAAGATTATATAAATTAGGCTTTGCAAGCTGGCAATTTTCAGATGGAATCTGATTCACAGATTTGTTGTTTTGCTTGTGCTAAAAAAGTTTTGAATATAAATATTTTTAAATACAGGGTAAATGTCCTCTGAATTAGTTACTGTTCCCCATACTGGCCTATTTCACTTAATTACACTACCTTGCTCTAGTAGGCAGAAGGATTTGTGATTCTTGCAGTCTCCTTAATTTACCAATGAGAAAACTGAGGGCCAGGGAGGGTACATGATGGAGGGGAGACATACAGTTAGTTATTAGCAGAGCCCACCTGAACCTGGGACTCTGGAATCCAGGATCTAGGCTTTTCTCCACCACTCTATCTTTAAGTAACCATGCATCCCAGGAAGAAGCACTGTTAGCAGTGCTTCTCAAAGTGGGTAATATCTGGACTTTTTTTTAAATTTTAATTTTTTCGAGACCAGGTCTTACTCTGTTGCCTAGGCTGGAGTGCAGTGGTGCGATCATGATCATGGCTCACTGCAGCATTGACCTCACAAGCTTGGGTGATTCTTCCCACTTCAGCCTCCAGGTAGCTGGGACTACGGGTGCGTGCCACCAGGCCTGGCTAATTTTTTTTTTTTTTTTGTATTTTTTGTAGAGATGGGGTTTTGTCATGTTGCCCAGGCTGCTCTTGAACTCCTGGGCTCAAGCAATCCACCTGGCTCGGCATTCTAAAGTGCTGAACAAGCCACCACACCCAGCCCTGGACTTTTTGAGACAGAGTCTCATACTATCGCCCAGGCTGGAGTGCAGTGGCGCGATCTCAACTCACCGTAACCTCTGTCTCCTGGGTTCAAGCAATTCTCGTGCCTCAGCCTCCCAAATAACTGGGATTACAGGTGCCCACCACCATGCTCAGTGGATTTTTCTTTTTTCATATTTTTAGTAGAGATAGGGTTTCACCATGTTGACCATGCTAGTCTCAAACTCCTGACCTCAAATGATCCGCCCACCTTGGCCTCCCAAAGTGCTGGGATTACAGGCATGAGCCACTGCACCCAGCCGACTTTTTCCCCCAAACTTTTATTTTAGGTTTTGGTGGGCACATGTGCAGGTTTGTAATATACATAAACTCTCCTGTCACAGGGTCTTGTTGTACAGATTATTTTGTAACCCAGGTGCTAAGCCTAGTACTCAATAGTTACTTTTTCTGATCTTCTCCCTCCTCCCAAACTCTGCCCTCAAGGAGGCCCCAGTGTCGTTCCCCTCTTTGTGCCTGGACTTATTTTTAACAGAAAGAATTATCTCAGTTTCCAAGTATGAAAATATGTTATTTTTATGCTTTAAAAATATATATAAACCAGAGAAGAAGGCTGTAAGTTATTGTTCTTATAAGATGATTAAGAAAAATTTATAAATTGAATTTTGAAACTATGAAACTAATAAATTTAAATTAACAATATAAATGTATAGGGAATATTATGCTTTTCTGTAACAATTAAAATTTCAGTATTGGGTGTACTCATAGAAATAGTTTATCTCAGGTCCTGTGCTATATTCAGTGTTTCAGAATTTTGACTTTAATAATTCCAATGTAGAGAATGCCCATTTTCATAAATATATCAGCCAAGAAAGTATTTAATGACTTCAAGGTTCTTTGTGCTAGTTAAGGTTATTTGGATCTCTTATTTATCTAAATATTCTACTCGAGAGTAAGATGCCATTTTAAATGAAGTGTCACCTGTAACTAAGCAAAGTTTTCTTGTTGGCTTGAGGATAAACTTAAAGCTTTACTGATGGGTATCAAATCATATTGTTGCTGGCGTTGGCTGAGGAAAAAGCATTTGCTACCCCCTCATAACTTTTGAACAAATATGTTCAAGGATGGAACTCTTCCAACATAGTCTGGTGCAATGTGAATACAGTACTAACTGCTATGGGGTAGATTCTTCTATATTTGGCTCACCTGTACTGTTATGTCCTGAACAAAGGGAGGTTTCACTACTGTTTGAATATAGAAGTAAGAAGTGGTCATCCAGGTGGTTCAGGATAGGTATACAGTAATGGTTTTATATTGTTACCAAGATAAAAATGCAAAATTTAAAAAGCATCAAAACAAATTTATGAATTCCAAAAATATGTTCACAGATACATACACAGAGAAAAGTCCCGGGTTTGGGAGTCAGATTCCCTTGGTTCTAGACCTCAGTCTTACATTAATTAGTCATGTGACCTCTTTCAAGATAACTTATCCTCTTGGATTTCAGTTTTCTCATCTGCAGATGAACTTTAAATTCTCAAACCCTCAAATTCCACAATTTGTTGTAACTGTATGTTTACATTTGCTGCATCTTCCTTTCTTTGCAATTCCACAAATCAAAAAGCTAAGAGAACAAAATTATCTTATAGGCAATGAAATAGTATTCCTCAGATGTATTGCTAAAAAAACTTGAATGTTGGTGTAAGAAGGCATCTCATCTCATCTAATTTCAAATTGTATTGCAAAGAGCAGTAGGGTGTGCCACTATGGGTGGCAGTGTGAGAAAAAGGGGTATAGACTGACTATCCTCTTTGGTTCACAGAGCAGCTCTCCTGACATCTGTTTTATACTGATGGTTCTATATGTGTGGTTTGAAAACTTACATGACACAGCTTATATAGCTCCCTAGGCTCTCCTGGAGCCATGGTCTCCTGAGTCCTCAGCTGTTCGCTTTGCCTCAGCTGCTCCTTTGGCTATGCCTCCCCAAAGGGCTGCTCTTCATCCCAAACCCATGACCAACTGACTGTGCTTGGGTCCTCATGGGTCTCCCACCTAGGGCTGGCTGATCTTTCACTGTCCCAAATGAGCTAGGCACTCCCCATTTCTGCCAAGGTGCATCCAGGCCTAGCCGCCATATACTTTTGAGTTTCTGGCTTCTAAAGCCACTTCTGCACTTCGATAGGAAGCCACACTGTGAAGATTGTATCTGGCTCCCAGATCAACTGCCAAGGAAGCTGCATGAAACAATGCAGAAGTTATCTCCTTGTAGGGTGAACTGTGATCAATGTAATAGGAGATGGGAAGACAATGTCCCACACCTCTTCCCTTTCACAAACTGTTCCAAAACATAATTCTCCATATGGCCTGTGCACATGTGGCCATATGGATGCACCTGCTAAGCAACCAGCTATATCTCTGAAATACCAGAAACAGTGACCAATCCATGAATATATTTCCTTGCATTTCTTCCTAGTATTCCCTGCCTCATGTTCTTTCTTTCTCACTCTCACTGTCTGGGATGGTACCTCCTAATAAAGCACCAGCACTCAATCATTGCCTCGTGCTCCATTTTTCTTGAGAAACTGGCTTAAGGCAAAAACCATTGCTACAGTCCAACCCTCTCTGTATGGATGTCTACAACACAAACTTGACCATGTCCCTCCCTGGCTTTGCACTATTTACGAGATATCCTTAGCTAGTCAACAGTACCCTCCATGACTTACCATCAGCTTATGTGTCACTTGCTGATGCATTCTCACTTACAACTTATCATTCCAGAAGCCTTATAATCCTCCCAACATCCATGCTAGAACGCACCTGTTTCTTTATGTTTGGACAAGGCATGCCCTCAGCCTGAGATGATGTATCTCATTTTTGCATGGCTAATTTTTTACCAATTCTCATTGAAATAACTTGCAGCTGTCTTTCTTAATATCCTGAAATGCCTCAAGGGCAGGAACAATATCTTATTCTCAGCACGTGGCACACCAACTGGAACATAGCTGGTGCACTGTAAGTATTAAAGTACTATGGACAAGGAAATGGAGGCTCAATAATTTATCCTTGGTGACAATGCTTGACAGTGGCAGAGCCAGTGCTAGTGTGTAATGTGCTCATTCTACCACTTCTATATTGTCTCCTAGAAAGTGGTTTGACTTCTCCCCAATACTCATTTCACTCACTCATTAATTAATTCTTTCATTAACTATTCATTAAGTGCTTATGTCTCAGGTCCTTTTAGATTTGGAGATTCAGCCCCTTCTAAACCTTCAGGTTTCTCAGATCCTTACTTCAGAATGAGCACAGATTCTGTGTTACTTTGAAGAAAGTTATTTGGCATCAGAGTCCATGGCTGGGGGTTCAGAAAACAGAAATTTTAATAAATCCTGATTATTCATTAGTATTGTGATATTAAGAAAGTCACTTAAACTCTTTGTACTTCAGCTTTCCTCATTTATTGAATGGAAATTTTTAAAAAAATGCCTTCTCTTTGCAGAGAATTGTAAGAACACAGGAATCATGGATGAAAAAGTACTTTGAAAAGTTGAAAGTGCTATGTAAATGTATTATCTAGTTATACTATCACATTTGCCTTAATTTGATATTTGAAAATTCAAGTGATCTGCATCAAATTCAACTCATCAATTAATGAATCAACAGAATAACAAGAACAGACTCAAATCTAAAACAGATTTTTGTATTAGTCTGTTCTGACGCTGCTAATAAAGACACACCCAACACTGGGTAATTTATATAGGAAACAGGTTTAATTGACTCACAGTTCCACACGGCTGGGGAGGCCTCACAATCATGGCAGAAGGCGAATGAGGAGCAAAGTTATGCCTTCTAAGGTGGCAGGCAAGAGGGCATGTTCAGGGGAACTCCCCTTTATAAAACCATCAGATCTCATGAGTCTAATTCACTATCACAAGCACACCATGGGAAAGACCCACCCCATGATTCAATCACCTTCCACCCGGGTCCCTCCCACACAATGGAAATTATGGGAGCTACAGTTCAAGATGAGATTTGGGTGGGGACACAGAGACAAACCAAATCAATTTTAGAGTTACTTTCCCTCATTCTACAAATGCTTCCTAGTATTCCCTGACTCATGTTCTTTCTCTCTCACTCCCACTGTCTGGGATGGTACCTCAGAGAGTGAGAAAAATAAGACTTAGAAAAATTAAGTGATGGCAAGAACTTGAACCATGTTTCCTGACTTCCATATCAGAGCTTGAAGTTCTCTGCATTAAAAAAAAAAAACTATATACATTTGAACTATTTAATCATGTGAAAGGAATATTCATCATCTTTATGGGGTGATGTTATCCTCTAAAAGTTCAAGGAGAAAAATCTCAGTGTTCTGATCACCGTTTTTCTCCCCTGCCTTTCCATCTGCTGTCTCTGAACCAGTGACTCATAACATTCCTTTCTAGATGAAACAGTCTTGTGATTAGCACCCTGGGTGTGTTCGTATGAGTCCCGTGGGGGTACAGAAAGTACATGTTAGAACTATTTGCAATTATTTTTTAACGTAAAAATAAGACAGAAATGAAGCCTCATCAGTCTCTAATACATGAACACAGGTGGCTCATACATCACATAGGCCTCAAGTATTTTGAGGGAGGCATAGGAGCTTCATGGCTAACACGAAGGGGTCAACAGTGGCACCCTTTGGGGCTCACTCGCCTTTCCTGAATTGCAGTTCATACATGCCCTATTAAGTGGATTTAGAGATTATATAATCTAATTTTTAACTAAACTAATCCTCACAAAATGGACAATTGGCTTTAAAAGATCCCACCAAAGGAACTGTGGATAGAAGATAACACTAATTGAACAAGCACAAGTGAACAGCAATGATAAACAAGAATCTGCCGAGCCGACACTTCTACCCTACTTGAGCTCTATGTCAGCCACGATATAGCTCACAAAGCAGTGGTACTAGAATCAGATCCGGCAAGAGATCTGCCAAAACAATCCAAAATTATCAAGAGGAAATTTATATCTGCTCTCTTTAATATATACTTCTAAGTATATATTATGCCTTAAAGTACTAACTAATGAGATTTTGAAGCCATCATGATTGGCAGAACATTGAAACATAAAACACTCAGAATGGGAAGACATGCCTCTATGAGAGGGGGTTTTAAAAAGCACAATTTTACATAATTTTTAGCAAATTGAATAATACATGTATGAAGCTTTTTGAGATTTCTTAATATATGAGAACTACTTTACATTTGCATAATATAACATCTTATATTATAAATTGATATAATATATGACTCTTTGAAATGTTTGCATTAAAAAGATTCAATATGTAGCTGCTGAAGTGTTTTCAAGTTCCATGACTATGCAGAAGTTTTTACTCTATCTCTGACATCACAAAATGCTAAATGCTGTTATTGCCTTTCTGTTGTTAGAAGTTGTCACTGTTCAACTCTCTCTGGGGAGATTGATTTACCTGGGTATACTTCTGCAAACTTCTATAATTCCCTATTCATTGACTTGAAGGTAAACTACACACTATACATACAGCAGTGTATGGTAACTGTCTTTGAGAACTTTGCCAATTATTTTTAAAATATTACAATGAGTACAGCCTTTCTGAGAAAATCTTCAGAAGAACAAACAGTAACTCATGAAAGAAAAGGGATTAAAATCCTAATATATTTTGTTTAGGTTGAGTTTATGAAAAACCAAGACGAAAATCAACGACAAACTCCATTCTTTATTTAAATATTGCCTATCTCCCTAATGAACTATTTCACTCAATCATTAGTAAAAAAAAATAGTAAAATACAATGTTTTTTTTAAACTCTCTTCAGTTTAGAATTTTCTGACTAGCTGTCCTTGTGCTTTCAGATTAATAATGCAGTAGGATTTCTCCTGCTCTTATTTATGTAGAAAGTAAAGGAAGCATTGTAGTTTTGGTGTCACAGATAAAAAACATTCCAAATCAGAATCTATGGAGTGTCAAATGCTCAAATGTATTGACTTTCAACATTAAGAAAACATTAGTTTGGTTTTTATCCAAAGTCAAAGGCTATTTTCCTCATTTGCCACATGAAACTTGAACACACATTTGTGTTCATCTAAACAGTTCACATTCTCTTCTCTTCAGCATTAGAGAGAGCCATAGATTTATTTTTATGGCTGTAGATTTTGAAAGCATTTGTTCTTCACCCAGAACTTACCAATTCAGAATATATTTTTCTTATCATATACCATTAATAAGAATTTCGTTAAAATTAAGCCCTTGACTCAAGCGTACATTGGTAGCATTTAGTTGTCATGGGTAGCACCAAATGCCTAGGCCCTGAGAACAATGCAACGAAGTCAGTAGCAATTCACCAACCTAAAATATATGTACCCCAAATCAACGCCACTTTAAAGATAAACAAGCATTTGGCACACTAATAAATAATGCTGTAAATCTTGCTATATTGGATTGCAAATAACTCCAACTGAATAAAATTGCATGACACAGGATTTACTTATTCTGCACATTCATAAAAACAACTTGTTCCCTGACAGCACTCATTCTTGGCAATTTACCACAGCTGTCAGCAGCCAATTTGTTCAGATTACTGCTCTGCATAAAAGTGTAACAATCATGGGGATTTATTAGCTGATTATCGTAAAGGGGGCAGTCCGTCTTGCCTGCCAAAATGCAGGTGATCAGAAAGTTAAATAATTACATGCAGATTAACATTATTTCACCTTCACTTGAAATTTGTAGTTCAGTGACAGGTAAAATTTGTTGTTCAAACTTGCAATATGGTGTGCATCACCTAAGTTAGTTTACCGAGTACTTGGCATTTTACTGAGCACTCCATGGCTCCAGGACAACATGCTGAATACAAGAGTGTGATGAAATAAGCATGGACTTTAGATTGATCTGGATTTGAGCCTCAGATCAATCACTCCACTGGCTGAGCAACCTCTTAACTGCCCTCAGCCTCACTATTTGCATCTGCAAAATTGGTATAATATGAACCACCCCTGCTACCCCAGAGTGTAAAGCTAATGTGTATAATAGGGCCCTGCAGGTTGTAAAGCATTATTATTATTGTTTCTTTCCATTTATGGTAAATTTACTTTTGTGTAAAGTTTTACAACCAGACAGCTCCGTAGATATCATGATGATGAAAAGTTATAGTAAGTGTCTTGGTAAATGTATAGCCTACTTTTCCCCCAAATATGGCCATTTATTATTACTGAAGTATAAAGATTATTCAGACACTTTTATACTTTAACTAATTCATTCTTCTCTTTTGCATTATATTCAATTACCTTTCCACAGTTACACTGAAACTTTCTTACCTTCAACTAAGTCATGTTGTTCTAATTGCCTTTCCATTAATGCCTGGTGTCAGATCAGCATTTGTCTGACAAAGAGCCATAATTTCCAGTGTTAAATCAAGCTTCAGGGATTTATATTCAAACCCAGGAAATATTTACTGAGTGCTTGGTGCCAGATACTTGTTTAGGTATGGAGTATGTTGCAGTGAACAAAACACTCAAAAAATCCCTGCCCTCGTGGAGCTTACATTCTAATGAGGGAAAATAAATGATAACATAAATAAGATGCATAGTTTGCCATATGGTGGTTGCTTTAATGGAGAAAAACAGAGCAGAATAGAGGAATGGAATGCCAAGAAAAGCAGGTTCAATTTTAAATAGGCTTGGTATGGACGCCTCCCTGATGAGACATTGGTGCACAGATCTAAAGAAGATGAAGAAGCAAGGCAGGTGAGTGGATCCCTGAAGAAAGTTAGATAGAGGGAAAGGTCCTGAGGTGGGAGGGTGTCTGGTATGCCTTGAGGAACAGCAAAGAGGCCAGCTGGCTGAAAGTGAATGAAGGACGGGGATAGGCAGAATAGCAGAAGTTCATAGTAGACAAGCAACAAGGCCAGATTGTGCAAAGTCTTATAGGCCACTGAAGGGACTGTGGCTGTCCCTAGATTATGATGCAAAACAATTAAAGGATTTGGAACAGAGGAGTTAAGTTACTTTATTTTTGTTTTAAAAATATTACTCTGGCTGCTAATTGGAAACAGACTGTTGTGGGAGGGGAGGTGTGGAAGGAAGAACAGGAGGCTGTTGCTACTGTCCATATGAAAGCTGATGGTGGCTTTGACCACAATGATAATGATAGAGATGATGAGCGGTCGAGAATCCTCAATATGTTTTGAAGAAAAATTATCAGGTTGCTGATTGATTTGATGAGAGTGAGAGAAAGAAAGGAATCAAACATGGTTCCACGATTTTTGGTGTTAGCAACAAACAAGAGAAGGCTGAAGGAGGAGCAGATGTGTGGGACTGAAGGTTAGAAGTTTAGCTTTGCACATTCTAAATTGGAGAAATCTATTAGACTTTCAAATAGTGATATCAAGTAGGCAGTGCAATATAGGAATCTGGAATGCAGAGAAGAGTTATGGAGTGGAGCTGGACTCTTGTGAATCAATGAAGTCACCATGGGAGCCAGTATAGATGAAGAAGATGCCCAAAGAGTGAGCTCCGAGGCTTTCCAGAACTACAACATGAGGGGATGAGGAAAAACCTGCAAAGGAGACAAGAAAGAGCATGCAGTGAGGTAAGAAAAAAACAAGGAGCATGCGGTGTCCTGGAAGGCAAGCGAAAAATGTGTTTTAAGGTAAGGAAGGGGTCAGCTAAATCCAGTACTGCTGCTGGGTCAGGTTAGACGAAGGTTGAAAACTGGTCATTGAATTGAACAATGTGGTGGGCTTGGGGGACATTGACAGGAGTAGTTTTGGTGGCTTGTTGGGGGCAAATGCCTGACTATATTAGTTCAAGTAAGAATGGAAGTGGGGGCTGGGCGCAGTGGCTCACACCTGTTAATCCCAGCACTTTGGGAGGCCGAGGATGGTGGATTGCTTGAGCTCAGGTCTTCAAGAACAGCCTTGGCAGCATGGCAAAACGCTGCCTCTACCAAAAATACAAAAATTAGCCGGGCATGGTGGTGCATGCTTGTGGTCCCAGCTACTCAGGAGGCTGAGGTGGGAGGATCGCTTGAGCCCAGGAGGTGGAGGTTGCAGTGAGCCGAGGTCGCACCACTGCACTCCAGCCTGGGCGACAGATCGAGACCCTGTCTCAAAAACAAAAACAAGAATGGAAGTGGGTAATGTTCAGTACTAAAATAGTTTTAACTCTTTGACACTCCAGATTTGCAAGTGGCTCTTTCATTCATAGCCAGTCTTATTTTTATTAAATATAATGAAACAAACTCTGTTATTGAGTTTGCATTTACAAAATATATTTTAAAAAATCATTATATATGACCAAAAATGGAAAGTAAAATAGACAATTATAAACCATAGCATAATAAACTAGTCTATATAGATAATGTAATCCATACAAATGTTCTCAAATTTGGGACTCAGCTCAGACAGTACCCTTAAAAAATGTTACTAGCCATTGAAGGAATAGTATTACCCTCCATGGCCAACTTTAAACTTACTCACAAGCCTCCAGCAAATTCCTAGAATAGTCTCTACTTTCAAAATTAACAGACACAGAATGTTGCAGTGAGAGCTTGCAAAAAAGGACAGATGATTATGATGACAGTTTTATTACTGTTACTTCACCCTGAATACTCAAATTTAATTGGAAAGTAAGTCAATTGTCTTTGAAACTATTCTAGGAATTAAGTAATTCTATTATAATCTGTATTATCTCCACTGTTTCCATGCAAGCTTCAAATAAATAAAGAAACACAACTTGCCTGATACTTAGGTATAATAACATGTTGCTTTTCAGCGGCAAGATGCTTTTAAAGAGCAATTTAACAAGCGTCAAGTTAGAGACCTGGAATTTTCAGTGCCATCTGGATATCAAAAAGATTTGAAATGATGATGCATCATAGTTATTTCCCTTTTCTGCAAAAGGCAACCTTGCTAATTTAGGAGTGTGCAGCATGTTTCTATTGTCCATCTTTCAGTATCTCAAAATCTAACACTCATTCCTTTCATTGTGTAAACCAGTATAAACCACTACTCCAGAGCTGTCTTGTCTATACCTGTGCTCATTTCACTCTAAAACTTTTGGGCTTAAATTGCTCTCATAGGCAATTAAGTTTGGTATATGACCGAAAATAGACTTCTCTTTTTCAAGCTTCCACAGATACCTGGAATAATCCCTATGATCTTCTACCCAGCAATTTGTACTGTTTTCTCAAAAATTAGCCAAAATATGAAAACCCTTTAGAAACAAAGTGAAGTGAGATAGTTAGGTCCACCTTTCTGTCAACCATGTCTGCCCTTGAAGAACTCATAATGTTATTAAGTGAGGAAAAGAAAATGATCAGTCCCAATTGGCCTGAGAAATTTTCACAGTTTTTAAATTGGAAAATTCTTACCAAAGGAAAAAAATATAAAAGAACATCTGTCATTATACGAAAAAAAAAATAGAGAGAAGAAGGGATATGAAGGAATGTAATGTATACCTAGAAATACAGGTAGCCAGAATATTTACAGCATAATCTCCATTATTTTACCAAGATAAGAGAGTTTGAATACAAAGAAATAAGGTTGAAGTAGCAAGTTACACATGCCCATCATTCTGATTATCTTGTGGTCACCAAATATAACTAATATTATTATAACCAAAGAAAATGAACTAATCATTCGAGGAATAGCTACTTAGCACCTTCTCGAAAGAGCTCATAGCCTATTGAGGGAGACAGAATCTTAGATATATAATTATAATGAAATGCATTTAATGTATTAACAGATGTGGTATATCCCAAAGAGAACAAGATAAAACTTTAGGAAAACTCTGAAAATAGTGTTTTAATTAAGGGAAAAAATGTGCAATAAAGGCCTGTGCTTTAAAAAGGCTTGAAATGTAATGTAGTATTAGATTACGGTGGTGTTTTCCAAGCTCACTTTACAAGTAAAATAGTAAAGGCTACCTGAAGCTCATCTTTGACCTCTCACTATATAATCCTATGAAGAAAATGATATATATATAACTGCATCATAAAAAAAATCAAGAGATAAATATGTTGGATTGGATTCCTGTTCTTACTTTTCTGGAGTATAATTTATTTTACTCTTAGTATGTATAAATTTTCTTCAAGCTGTATGTTTAAAGACTTGGAATTTCATGTAAGCTACAGTGAGGAAAGAATTTTTTTTTAATTTAAAAAATTAACAAATTCTTCAGTACACCACACTTTATTTCAATATTGGCAGGTTTCAATGTGTTTTGCTACAAAGACACATATATAACTATCAAAAAATATAAACATAGGCTTTAAATTAAGAAAACATATGATTCAAGTAGTCACTCAAAATAACCTTAACTTTGTGAAAAATGTCATGTAAGCCTCAGAATACTCCTTTCTTTACTGTGCTATCAGATTAACATGGATCTGCCTCACTTACATGCTTCCTACACTAATACTTGGGAACTCTTTACAGATTTATGAACTCCAAGGAGATTACAAGCATTCTCTACCTTGTAGGGCGTTGTAGAAAATAATGCATTTTACGGTGATAGTATGCTTTATGAAAATAAATATTATCTTAGATCACTTTACAGACTATGAATATGGTCTTTGTTCCTTTATGTATCTTATATCAGATGAAATTCCTCTTTCTCAACTCCCATAACTTTGACATCTGGAGAAAATTCATGGATATCAAATTCAGATAGCCTGTGTCCATCAACTGGTCAAAACCGCCACCTACTGGTCAGTTTTTGAATCTATTTTTCAGTTCATCCAAGCATTGCCTTACCATGGTAAAGTCCCTTTCTTCAAAACAGTAAAGATCATTTACAATAACCAGGCTTACAGCAAATATTCTTTTAATAAAAATGCTCTAGGAGTGAACCAAAAATTACAAATTGCACAAACCTGCCAATGAAATCATCCCTTTTCCCAGCATCTTTGTCCCATGCAGTGATATCAATGACTCCTCCTCTTTCTTCATAAAGGTGAAAATCAAATTGTTCCCTCCACTGAGGATTCAACGTTTTTGGCATAATCTGGAAAAAAAAATCATAATTGTCATATTGCTAGCAGCTTTTTAAAAAAAACTTCAACCTGAGACACTAAATCAAACTTTTGGTACTATAGTATCTAGAAAAGCACGCTGTGTGCTATTTGAAAAAAAGATTACAGAAATAATGGAAATAACTCATTAGATCTCCAGCATCTTTACTGAATAGTACATGAATGGACCTCAATGGATGTGTCCTGAAAATCACAAGACATTCTTTGATTATTTTAAATAACAGATAAGATATATAAATTATATAGAAGAGGTAATAATCTATGAAAGAAATAGCTCACTCGGATACTAGCAATATTTTACATAATCATAGTTAATGCATTAAGATATAACTCATAGCCAGTCAGTCATCTCAAAATAAAGGAGAATGAGGATTTTCAGAGTTTGTTTTTTTCTTACTTGCCATACACATTGGAATCCTGACTTGAGTACATGAAAAACAGACAATGAATTTCTGTGAGAGCAGGAGAAAAACGCAAGTAGCTTTTGGGTAGTCAGGCAAACTTTTATCTTAGACTTATAGCACTGATGTAGTATCTCATGTTATAGATGGATAAGCTGAGACCTAGAGTTTAAGTGACACACCTACGGTCAGTATGTTTTAGTATCTAGACACTAACTCAAAGTCTTTGATTAAAGCTTCGGGACTCTTCCCCCAAAACCATATGCCAAAAATGTCTGTGAAATAATAAATGAATATATGAGTATATATGTATGTATACATGTATATATGTATGAGTATATACATATGTATATGCATGTATACATATATGTATGTGTGCATACATATATGTATATATACATATATGTGTATACATATATGTATGTATGTATATATACACATATGTGGATATACTCTTTGTGTTGCATATACAAGAAAGATATCTGAAATGTAATTCTGTAACTTCAAGTATTCAGATAAGTCATCCTGTATGGTAGAATCAATGAGCAAAGTAACCTATATTGATAGGAATGGAATTTTAAAATTCCATTCACCATTGGGTTAAACAACATTTATATTTGTTTCCTTGTTCTTTCTTTTTAGCAGGAAGGCATGCAGTGGCCTTTTCTCTTTTTAATGTATGGCAGACAGATCTTCAGATGTAAAGTTTGAAAGCAATGAAGTATGTTATATGCAAAGGTAATGCAAATGAATCACAATTTTTAAAGTTCATAATCTGAAATTAATCAGCGATAGATCAAGGAAAGAAAGAGCAAAGAGAGACACATGTCCATTGCTGGGTTTCATATTTCATACCTAAAGAGCAGAACTATAAAAATAAGTAATGTTTTTAGCCTAACTAGAACACGGAAATGGTGCTAACTAAGAAAGGAGAAGATAGAAGTGGTCATAGGTACCTATTTTTGGAATCAGTAGCTACTTTAATATATGTTATATATTATAGCTACTTTAATATAAGCCCCATGGCAGAAAAAAAATGGCACTGAATGAAGGCTATGATAATTTAAATGTCTTATAATCAGGCTCAGATGAACTTCTGTGGTATTTTGGGGTGTGGTCTGTCTTTACTTATCTGGCCTTAAACAGACTAAATTTTCAGTTTTCTTTTCTAGGATTGCCTTCCCTATATTATTTCCTTCAGGTCAGAAATAATGCCTTCCCTTTCTATGTGGACACTCCAATCAGCCTGCTAGCAATACTCACTGCCTGCTAATGATGGGCTCTCTGATATTTTTAACTACCTTAAGTACTAGTGAAAACTTCCTGGGCTGGAAGGGACCTAAGCAGGCTGTTTATCAAAAATCTATAGAGATTATGACACTAAGGTGAATAAATGCCCATCAGAATGGAATGTGATCTTTAATACAAGACGGATATGATCAGTTGTCCTAAGCTGTCTATGAATAACATCTGTAAAAACTGACCAATAAAGAGGACATAGTTCATTACAACAGAGATAAGATGATATGGTTTGGCTCTGTGTATCCACCGAAATCTCATGTCATATTGTACTCCCCACATGTTGGAGGAGGGGCCTAGTGGGAGATGATTGAATCATGGGGGCGGACATCCCCCTTGCTGTTCTTATGATAGTGAATGCATTCTCACAACATCTGGTTGTTTAAAAGTGTGTGGCACTTCCCTTTTCACTCTCTCTCGCTCTGCCATAGAAAGACATGCTTGATTCCACTTTGCCTTCTGCCATGATTGTAAGTTTCCTGAGGCCTCCCAGCCATGCTTCCTGTACAGCTTGCAGAACTGGGAGTCAGTTAAACCTCTTTTCTTCATAAGTTACCCAGTCTGAGGTAGTTCTTTATAGAAGTGTGAGAATGAACTAATACATAAGACATGTGCCAAAAATATAGTTATGACTACTAGACCCTTATTCATTATTACTTATATTACTAATATTATTGTTTAATACATTATTACTACTACTATAATTGATACTATACGATATACTTCTTACTACTGTTGTTACTCTTCCTCTTCTGCTATTTTTGTTTGCTGAGTGATTATGGACAAGGCAGTATTCTAAGCCCTTTAAATGCGTAACATATATTCATTTAATCTTAGTAAATTTGTTAGGTAGGCATTATTTTAACTCTCATTTTTACAGATGGGAAAACTAAGATATGGAGAGACAAAGTAACTTGTTCTAATAAATTTTAAAATTTGCTATTTGCATTGGTACAAGTCAGGTTGGATAAAGTGTATAAGAGTAACATACAAAGATTTTTATGGCATGTAAAATAATGCTATTTATAATACTGATATTAGCACTAGTTGTAATAATGTTAAAAGCTACACTCTTGGGAGGCCAAAGTGGGTGGATCATCAGGTCAGGAGATCGAGACCATCCTGGCTAACATGGTGAAACCACGTCTCTACTAAAAATACAAAAATTAGCTGGGCATGGTGGTATGCACCTGTAGTCCCAGCTACTCGGGAGGCTGAGAGAGGAGAATTGCTTGAACCCGGGAGTCGGAGGTTGCAGTGAGCCAAGATCATGCCACTGCACTCCACACTCCAGCCTGGTGACAGAGTGAGACTCCATCAAAAAAAAAAAAAAAAAAAAAAAAAAAAAAAAAAAAAAGCCGCACTCTGAGTACTTTATGTGCCAGGCATCAACTATGTGTTTTCTGGGTGGCTGTTATTGTTTTAATCCACAGAGCTATGCCAAGGGATAGTTCCAACTATTATTGCTATGTTGTAGATGAAGAAATTGGGACATAGACAAGTAGTTTATGGGAGGTCACCTAGTACATAAATTTAAAAATGCTATACAATTATTGGTCTTGTTTTCTGACATGGTGTTCAAAAGAGTTTGTTAAGCATTTAAAACATTATCTAGTGGTTTCATCTCCTAAAGCAGGGCTATTAACCAACCAATGCCTTCCAAATATTGACAGGAACACAATAGAGACAAGGTTACCTTGCTCTTGTACTTCTGATGCCCAAGCCGGAACTTCACGTAGGGATCGCTCAACCCGTTGGAATCCATGGCCTTGAGGTCTCTCCCTTCAATCAAGGTGATGCTGACTATTCCTCTCCAAAGATGCGATTTTCTGTGTAGGTCTGATAGGCGTAAACTTTGGGTCTGAAACTTTTGGCAAATGAAAATTGAGTTAGGTTACTGTGTTTTAAACCCAAAAACCTCATTTTGGCGTTACCTTTTCTCCTGTTATGATTCTTCAAAAAATAAAGGATCGGCAATTATAATTTTTTTAACTAAAAATAATTATGAATTATTAATTAATTATAAAATTAATAAATTATGAAATTATCATTTCATGATAAATTCGTTGTGTAAAAGAGTTGAGTGTTCAAAATACAGTCTAGCTTTTCAATTCTTAAGATTACAAGATGTAGATACTTCAAGAATATCAGAGAATATTTGCATGTGTGCCAAATAGGCTTATGCCAAAATATGTATACAATAAATGTTAGAAATATCAAAGGCCTCGTTCATACTGTGGTATTTAATTTTTAAACTATTTATGGTGTTTGAAGATCTCTATGTTATAAATATATTTTACAGGTGGTTTTTAATTGCAAGATTAGTTGCAAGTTCTATCCAGATAGTTTAAAAACTTCTTTCTTGCCACATTTGGAGATTATTGAGCTTCAGATTGCTAAAGGACAATTTAAGTTACCACAAAATAGAAAACAAAATCAATAAGCCCATCTAAGATGTCTTGCTTATACCTAAAACTTTCATCACAAATATTTAAAATGTTTAAAGTTACCCATGTGATTTATATTGGCAAGTATGTTTCTGAATTTATTTTACATTTTAGTATCTGAATATTTTCTTTAATGACTTTTATTATTCTTTTTTTTTTCTTTTTAGAAACAGAGTCTTGCTCTGTCACCCAGGCTGGAGTGCAGGGGTATGGTCATAGCTCACTGTAACCTCAAACTCCTGGGCTCAAGTGATCCTCCCAAGTAGCTGGGACAACAGGCATGCACCACTGCACCCAGCTAATTTTTATTTTTTATTTTTGTTTGTTTTGTTTTTAGAGAAAGGGTCTTGCTTGGTTGACCAGGCTGGAGTGCAGTGGCATGATCATAGCTCACTGCAGCTTTGAACTCCTAGCTCCAAGTGATCCTCCTGCCTCAGCCTCCCAAAGTGCTGGGATTACAGGCATAAGCCACCACACCTGGCTTAGACTTTTATTAAAATTTGCAAGTCTACTAAAAATGGCCACATAATCTCTTTAAACTAAAAAGGACATAAAACAAGCCATAGAAAGTAACTAAATGTGAAAACATTTTCAATCTGGATTCAGCATCAAGCAGTACTGTAAAAATAGTTTCTTTCATATTATCAAATGTGTTTTTCCTACTCACAGTCATTTCATAAAGAAATTCAACATTCCTCTCAACCTCAAAGTACACTTCTAAATTACGGATTAGCACTACTTTCTATCTGATCCGTTCTACGTTAATGTTACAAAGTTACAGTCTATTTTACGTAACTCTGCCTCCCACTTTGACTTCCTACCTTTTTCCATACCAGAGCAACGCCATAGGTATTTTTATCATCATCATCAAAAGTCATGCATTTCAGAGTGCTTCTATTAGGAAAATGAAAACTACATTCTTCAAAAGATAATACTTCTAATATTTGAACATTTCAATGAAAATCTTTCAAAATCACATTGCATATTTTCCTGCCTTGTTGAACACAGCACATTTTGAACTTTGCCTGGTGGCTCTGCCCTATGAATATCAACGCAGGCTTTTGTCTACATACTCTTCATCCCTGTGAGCTTCAAGAGCAGCATTCAAATGTGTTCTGAAGTGTAATGGAGAATTCATGGAGCACCTGCAAGTTCTGCAGAACTCCATGCCCACTTCAGCTGGAGCCCCTCTGCTCCTGTCTGTTCTCCATATTGGATTTCCACATTGGATTTTGTTGAACAGAGGACTTCTCAGATGAAAGTAATTGTTTAGAATTTGTTGCGCCCAGTTATGCCCAAGGTCTTTGTTTTAGTTCTAAGATTTCATGCAACTTATTATTATATAATCCAGCTGTAGATTTTGGTGTATGACTGGTTTAACCACTTCTGCTGCTGTTGAGACTGCCTCTAACAGCAGACTCTAGAGAATTGGGTTTTAAACTTTGGACTGGAAACTTTTTTAAGGAATATGAGTAGCAAAGAAGGAAGCAAAGAAAACAAATGTTGTGGCAAGCAAGAAGAAGTAATTATTTTAGCAAAGATCAAGGAGCTAATAGCTGCCAACTTATATAGAGCTTTAGAATTTAAAAGTGTACATATCTACATTACAACATTTGGTTCCCACGAAAACCCCATGAGGTCAGAAGGCAAGGCTTCTTAGCCCCATTTTACTGATGGAACTCAGAGTGGTTGTGCTCATAAATGGTAGATATATGACTAGAACCCCAATATTTCTCATCTTTATTCCTGAGCTTCCCCAATACAAGTGTTTAGGGTGGAGATTCTCTCATAGGTTAAAAGGTAAGTATGATTGAAACAAAATGTTTCCAAAGGGTACTCTCCACTTAAGTGGCAAGCACATGGCTAATTCATGAAATTGTCTTTTACTTTTCTATTATATGACCACATGTGTTTATAATATTTCAGCTTGTTGAAGAATATACTTAATGCCATTTTTCTATGTGCTCTCTAGAAGCAGTCAAATAGTAGCTGGGTAAAAGCTAGTTTACACAGTGTCTTCAATTAGCAATGTGAAGTAAGTTTCTTTAACAGTGCCATGTCTAAAATAGTGCCTTCCTTGCTTGCTCCTCCTTTCATTTTGTTTTCTGGTTTTTTTGTTTGTTTGTTTTTAACATGAGAACATGAACTTGGCTTACAGAGTGAGGGAGAGAAAAGCCATTTTCACCCTGTAAGTCAAGTTCATGTTCTCATGTAAAGCTCACAGGAGGAGAAAAGATTCCATTTTCCATTGGGTCCTTTATGCTTTCACAGAAATAAAATGAACATAATAGAGACTTTACCTACTGCCATTAGTTGCTGTGAAATGCTTTTCTATAACCCAGAAGAACATTTCCAAAACAACTTGGGGAGCTAAGTGGGAGGAAGGAGAACATTTCTTCATAAAAACAGGGCTAATGGGTGTGGTAATTATGGGGACCTGCACATAAGGCTAAGAAGAAGAAATTTAAAAAGTTTCAAAGATATTCTATTCAGATATTTTTTAAGTGATGTTTTCTTCTTCAATAATTTTTGTTCAAAATGGTACTTCTCTACAAAGAAACTCCATAATTCAATTGTAGATTTTATTGAGCAACTGCATAGTCATGAAACTGTTAAATATTTAGTCTATGCATGAAGAAGTGAGACTTGAAATAAAATTACAGGTAAAGGTAAAAGATATAAACATAGGCTACCAACAGCAGAAAAGATAAGCATGTAACATAAATAAATGTTCACTCACATCTTCCTAGCAATTTCTGGCTATATGCTTGGGCATGTTTCTCCCTCTCTGGGACTCAGTTTTCTTATGTTTGATTTTTCTAGACTGTACTTCAGGGCCCCAGGTGTACTAACAACACTTTTCTGTGTGTATCTACGGGTGGAGGGAGGTTGTGTGTTCAGGGGCCTACAGAGAAAGAAGTACACTCCATAAACAATGAAGATTTAGCTTGCTCAAGATAGTCATTTATTACTTTTACTTATTTTCAGAATCAAAGTTCTGGGGAGCTCATTGAGGGAGTGGGGATGGGCAGAATACCACGGCAAAAAGAAACTTTGCAAACTATGAAATTCTGATGCTCTCCAAGGTAACTTCTGAGTCACTTGCTGCTCTGTTTAAAAAGTTTGCTTCCTCTGTATAGCAAATCTCTCAAATATGTGGTCCACAGACCAGTGGCATTGATGTCACCTGGGAACTTTTTAGAAACTCAAATCCTCTGACCCCATCTAGACTAACAGCATCAGAAACTCTGGGAGTGGAGCCAGGCATTCTGGTTTAACCAGCCTGCCAGGTAATTCTGATACACACTCTAGAGTGAGGATTCTTGCTTTGAAAGTTATGTGGTGCATGCGCACTGGCTTCTCTTTGTTCTAATAACTATTAATACAATTGTAGACATTAACGTGAATATTATTTATGCTATTTAAAGTCCTTTTTTAGTCCTGCTTCTAAATTTACTGATTAGGGAAGCATATTGGTCTAGATATTTGGAGTATTTAAAAAGAGAAGTAGGACCCTACTGAATAATTATGAAAAGCTGTGCTTCTTTTCTTCCTTTATTATTTTTTCTCCTAAATATATCTAAATAACACATATTTATTGAAGTGTTGCTAGTCCACCAAAATCACTTATTGAGCACCTAAAGGGCAAGGAGTATTAAACAAATCCAAGGTATCACTCAATAAAATTTGCATATTGCGGCTGGTACTTAGTTTTCTGAGGTAATGCTCTCAACTAGGTCCTTGTTGAATTAGAACTCTTCTTGAGGAGGACAAGAAAAAAGGCAGGAAGAATAAAAAGGAAAAAACCAACCTTGTTCTTCAAAGCAAAGAACAAAACCAAAGCCCTTAAAAGGAAGGAATAATCTTTGAACTTGTAAGGTAGTTGTTCTCAAATTCTAGCAGTCAATTTACTGAAATTGCGTGATTCTCTGAGATGTGATTCAGTTCTTATGGAGTAGAGCTGTATCTGTATTTCAGTATGTGCCCCATGTGATTCTCATACATCCAAAGTTTTAGATCCACTTTCATAAGGAGTATTCATCCAAGTTCATAATTAATAAAGAATATCAAGACACCAGGTAACAATACAGATTTCAAAGTCTGAAGCAATTAGTCCATAACATGTATCTTTAGTAAGATTTTAGAACAAATGAGCTGGCAATGTAAAGAAAGTGTTAGTTACATTATTCCTTGAAAAAAATTAAGATTACAATTCCTTTTCATATCTACAAAATAGGTTAGTATAGGGAGTGGGTTTTCAGTACAGTAAGTTGGCTCTCAGAAATCCCAGCTCATGCAAGCTCAGAAAAAAATAAATGAACTGAATGGTTGAACTTACTTGTACATTTTTGCAATAAGGATTCTGAAGCTCTGCTCTGCAGAAGCCCAGGACAGGAAGAGCTGGCCTGCCGCACGTCTGGATGGAAATGAATGATCAGAGCTGTACGGGGAAGCTTTGTACCATTCTCAACCCCTCATTTTGATCAGCAGTTTGAATTACTCTTCAGAAAACATTATTTGAGAAAATTTGTATTTGCTTCTCAAGTCACTGTCAGAAAATGTCTTATAGCACAATGAAGATAAATGTCAATGCAATTCTACATTTCCAGCCACTATTTTCTTTAGTAGAATGATGCTGCAGTGGTCAAGGAAATGAAGCCCAGAGATTATATGGTAATAGAGCCTAATTAAGTGATTTCAGGTTTTTGTTAATAGGTGCATCAGAGAAAATAACTATAGCAAGAGAAATCATGGAAAGAATAATTGTTTCCAAGTCTGCTGCTTCAAAATGTCAGAATAGTGATAAGCTTTCAGAAAAATAAATGTGACATGAATAGGCAAAAACTAAGATCATATTAACCTTGCATCCCACATGTAAATCTTTTGCAATGATTAAAGAAGTATCTCTAAACTAATAGGGAAATTTTGTCCCACATGACACCTCCCTTTTCTGCCTTTGCTACGAAAAAGTAACCCAAAGATCCCTTCACTACCAAGACCAAGAGTAGCAAGAGATGGATTAAGAAAGATATAGCTGAACAGGAACTCCTGGGGGGAAATTATCATGGTGGGACTGAAAGTTTATATTACAGGTCTTCTGGAGCAGTTAAAGAAAGTTTCTTAACAATAGTATTATGATGAGATTAGAGTGAGTCATCAGCCTTAATAACATCAACAGAGAAGACTGGATTAGGGCAGTCAGAAAGGTGGGTTAAATCACACGGAAAGAAAGGAACATTTATTGTGCAGCTATTACATGCTGCTGTTTTCGCACTCCAGTGTTTTTCATGACAGGAATCTTATTTTAAGGTAAATAAACTGAGGCATAGAGAAGATAAGTACCCCACTCAAAGCCAAATGACTAGAGATTGGCAAGGCTGAGATTTGAATCTAGAGTTGCTGAGACCTAATCAATGATTTCCACCCCCAACCCATGTCTCCCTTTTTTTGACAGAGACTAAGAAATTCATGGTACAACAAAAGAAATTAATTGGTATAGGAGTTTTCAAAATACTTTGCCTGTCACTTAGGTGAAATGTATCCTTGGTTATAGATTATCGAGAAAGGCTAATCGAGGGATTAGAGGAAGTAAGAGTAGGCGGGTGGTAATAACCCTAGCATATGTTATTCACTTTACTCTATAATAAATTATAGTTCAATGTCTACCAGTAAGGTGGTGAAGTCATAGAATCTAGCATATAAATTGGAAGCATTTCTATATTCCAGTTTTAGTTTAAAAAGTTTAGTAATTCCATTTCTTGAAAAGGTGGATCACTAAAAATGAGATATTTTATTTTTCTCGTTGTGATTTAAAAATGGAAAATTAAAAAAAATCGATTTAGACTTAATATGATACTAAGGGAACACAGTTAAACCAATCCCCTTCCCTGATAAGTACAAATAATCCTTGGCTTTTGTTATCCTGGATTTTATTACCTGTGTACAACCTAATCTTTCCAAATGAGACCCAGACACTGAAACGGGGAGTGAAAGACATTGCTTATGTGTTTACAATAAGCCATGTGTGGAATCAGCTCTTTCTTCTATTTTCAGCACAGGGTGCATGTGCTTTTATTTAATCAAATGATCCCCGAGACACTACAAAGAAGAGATAATGACAGCCTAGAATGACTGTTTTGTGCTGCAAAGACGAGTGTGGAGCAATTAGCTCAATCCCAGGCAAAGGCCTGTTCTATCTTTTGCTTTTCCTGCTGAGTTTATTCCAGCGAATTGCACCTGGATGATGAAGTCCAACAAGTGCATTTGTTCTGCCATCCACCCATCCTCTCAAAGTAGGATTGCTTTTACAGAAAACTCTCCCAGTGCTTTGTCCAGCGCAGTCTGAAGTGTCTCATCTTATAATAAAGCTTTGATCCTTTTTTTCTTAGAAGATGATTTACTGGCACCATAATCCTTAGCGAAATTCTGCTGGTTTTTAATCCTTAAACTTTCTTTTGTATTTCCATTGCTTCTTGATACAATTTATGGTGCCAGGAAGTTCTTTATGTTTACTTAAGATGTTTTAACTATCCTCTCTAACTTTAATCGTGGTCCAACAAAATTTCAAAGCTTTTACTACGTTTGTTCGAAAATACATACAAATAGAAAATCATCACATATATTGTAATCGTTTTGGCTTGCTGAAATAATCTACAAATTTCTAGCAATAATATGGGAAAGGAACAATAGTCTTGGGCCTGCCTTACAGAGACCTGTTTTTTTTTTTTTTTTTTGAGACTGTTAATTAAAAGTTACACCTATTTTTGAGTATAAATAACATCATACTTAAAAATGGAGATAATTCCTGAACTCATCTTGGGTGGATGTTACCTATGGTTGAGTTGTTTAGCGTGTAAGTGCTTCAGCACAGGATTCCATTCTTGTTTTAAAAAGCCAACAACTCGGCAGGGCGCGGTGGCTCACGCCTGTAATCCCAGCACTTTGGGAGGCCGAGGCGGGCAGATCACGAGGTCAGGAGATCGAGACCATCCTGGCTAACACATGAAACCCCGTCTCTACTAACAATACAAAAAAATCAGCCAGGCTTGGTGGCGGGCGCTTGTAGTCCCAGCTACTCGGGAGGCTGAGGTAGGAGAATGGCGTGAACCCGGGAGGCGAAGCTTATAGTGAGCCAAGACCGCGCCACTGCACTCCAGCCCGGGCGACAGAGGGAGATTCCGTCTCAAAATAAATAAATAAATAAATAAATAAATAAATAAATAAATAAATAATAAAAAGTCAAAAACTCTTCTCCTTAACCTTCAATCTTCCTTCAGACACACTTTTGCTTGACCTGACCGGAAGGCGGTACTCTGATATAACTTCTAAATTACTTTGTATTTTTCTATGTACTCTCCTTTGCCCATTGTGACCCTTTTCTTGATTTTTATATGAAGTATCTTGGCACGTTCCAGACTTTTCCACTTAAAAAATATTTAAATTTCTCTTTGATTCACTGCAATGTTCTTGTAAGGTGGTTTGCTCAATTAACTCTTTTATCAGGGTCTGTAAGTCCACTCAGTGGAGATAACTAAAAAGAAACTTAAGCATGCTAAATATTTGAACACACTGCACTAAGTTCCCACCTTTAAGTGGGAAGTTAGTCTTTAATACAATTTTTACTTAATCTGATTCACATAATTTTTATTGTTTTCATGAGAAACATGGTAATTGTCATATCCATGGCTTAATATTTTTTATCCTAAGATAGTGTTTTGATGAATAACAAATGTTATGTTTTCAGACAATTAGACTATCCCTGTACACAGTCTTTTCTTCCAGGAAAATTAAGATACAGCAAGTAGCACTGATGTTCCAGCTGAGCAAGTTTTTACTAGGATGTAGTTTCATTCAGTGTAAATCAGTTGCTATCTCTTGGACACATGTATTGATCTGTATAAATCTTGATAGGAATTTATTTCAATTCACATCCTGCTTAACCCACAAAGCACATGTATACTCTTCATGAAAGATTTTATCTACTTAGACATTTTGCATATCTGAAAATGTCCCTGGGTAACCTCCTTTCATATACATCTCCTCTAAAAGCTCATCAGAATAACAATATTGCTTGGGTAAAGAGCAGTGAGGTCAGTTAGTTACCAGAGTGACCTTTGAATGTGACTATGGAAGATAATACTCAACCAAAGTAGACTTGGTCACTGATTTTCTGATTTTGTAAATGGCACATCAGACACAGCAATCTCATGGCTCTTAAACACATCCATCCATTGGTGGCTAACATAGCTGCTGAAGAAAAGGGTCAAATAATGCAAGAAGAATTTGAAAGGGTGTCAATTAAAAATAACAGGCTAAGGAACAGCTTTATTTATACAAGGTATTTTTATTCATCATAAACTCAAAGAGGGACTCTACTGCTGTAAGTTCTTCAAAACATTTATTTGTATGGCATTCAGAGAGAGAGAAATATTGCCTCTGATCATGCCATCTGGGTACCTCAAGGCAATGACATCAGTGTGATGGGCCTTACTTTCCTCATTGGTAAAACAGATGACCCCTAAAGGTTATGCCTATATGACTCAATTCATTTGTCAACTCTTCATTGTCATAGGCCCAGAGAAGACATTACCATCACACCGTGGATACAAGAAAGTTTGTTTATTTTTAAACTTGCACATTTGTTATTCTAGGATCAAAGAGTTCAAGAGATTGAGAAAGGTTATTAAAGAATATTTGGGGATGAACACAACCAAATGGAAAGTACTGATAAGAGGAAAACTTGGAAGTAGCAAAGAAGATCTTGAGAGAGCCACTTGAAAGGGAAACACTTGAAAAAGTATTAATTATGAAGTTCGCCCTGGTGACAAATCTTCATTCACAATGACCAGTGTGCACATTTGCTGCACATAGAACAAACTTAACCCAGAACACCCCCCAAATTCTACTCTCAAAGAAGTGTGCCATGTATATTCCCCCCCTTTTTTTTTTGAAATGGAGTTTTGCTCTTTTTGCCCAGGCTGGTGTGCAATGGCGCAATCGCAGCCCACTACAACCTCCTCCTCCTGGGTTCAAGCAATTCTCCTGCCTCAGCCTCCTGAGTAGCTGGGATTACATGCATGCGCCACCATGCCTGGCTAATTTTTTGTATTTAGTAGAGACGGGGCTTTGCCATGTTAGTCAGGCTGGTCTCCAACTCCTGACCTCAGGTGATCTGCCCGCCTCAGCCTCCCAAAGTGCTGGGATTACAGGCGTGAGCCACCAGGCCCGGCCAGTGAAATAATTTTTGGATAAAGCCATTATCCATTTAAAGTCATGGAACAATTTAAAAGCACTCATCCTGTGTGTTCCTGGACAATGCATGAACATATAAGAGGAATTATTATTTCAGCAAAGTACAGAGTAACTTCAGTGAAGGCAGCCAAACAGTAGAAATGAAAAGGGTATAATTACTAAAATAAGCTCACAACAATAAAAAGCTGCAAAAAAAAAAAAAAAAAAAAAAAAGTGCATGTGCATTCGAGCTGGTAAGGATGAATAAATGTGGCGTATACTTGCTCACTGGTCAATACATGACTTAATCTGGTACCTGCCTTTCTACTTAAGAGACACTACAACAAATATTAAAATTCTAAAGAAAAAAGGTAGTTTTCAATAATGAAAAGTTTGCGAGTTAAGAAAGGAAAATGGACAAGCCCTAAGAGTGTAGCATTTTCATTGTAATATCTATTGTTACATTAAGCATATACCAAGTGTGAATTTTCAAAGAAAGAGGAACATTCTTAAAGGTAAAGCAGTAAGTGCATTAGTAATAAATTGTGCTGTGCATAATGCAGAATTAGAGCAGAGAAAAAAATGGATGGTCATTATGCTTTAATCATCAAAGAGTAAGTTAAATTGCAATGACATTTAAAACAAATTATCTGTGAATCATCATTTTGTCTTTATTTAAATCAAAAGAGTTGCTGTTTTCTAAATTATAGGATTTCTTTTCAAAGAAAGAGCACTGATCAGTATATATCTAGGACAGAGTTATAGTATAGATCACTGTAACAGAAGTAAATATTTTTCTCAAGCAGAAATGGAGCAGAAAATTCTAATCTCATTTTACAAGAGAGGAAAGAAAGAGCCTTCATGGACCTTCCAGATGGCACCGTTATATTCCTGGAGAGTCCCTGGGACTCTAGCTTCTCAGAATTTGGAATAAACTTGGTTTCATAAAATGACTTCAAAGAAATATGTTCAATTTATGAAGTTCTTAATTTTTACAAGTGTAGAAATAAAAGTGAGTTACCTAGATGACTTAGAAGATAATAAAGAAGGCAAATGAATACCTCTATCTGGAAGCCTATCTTAAAAAATGAAACTCTTAGTTGCCATGTAACTTTCAAAATTGCTATCCAAAACCAAAAATCAAGAATATTAACAAAAAGGATTTAGACATTACCCTCCAAAAGAGAGACTTCACAGAGAAATAAGATCCAACCACTTCATTTTCTGAAAGTTCCTAGAAACAAACAAATATTTAGCTACATTTTGAGATGTTTTTGAGAATAATTAATATTGTAAATACAAACAAATAAAATCAAAGCAAATAAAAAATCGAAAATTATATATCCTAAAGATACTTGGGATATTTAGAAACTGTAAGTTTTCTTCCCTTGAGTAAATTAAAATTTTTGTGGTAGTAAAGTTTAGAGAGGATTATTTCTGTAATTTTTTAAGAGTCCACTTACCTTTTCATTCTTAAGTATTCATTAATATATTTTAGAGTCTGATGGTTTATTATAGAAAGTAGACTGTTCAAGCATATTTTAATATTTTAAAGTAAAGCAGATATTTATTCCTTTTAACAAAACAATTATGTTAACCATTGAACTTCAGAGCATTTTTAAAGAATGATTGCAGAAGTCTTATTTATAAACATGCACCTAGTCAAATTTGGTTTACATTTCTACAAAAAATTCCAAATTTTATAATACAATTAACAAACATAGTAAGTGACTTAGTTAACTGAAGTTCGCTGACAATAATTTTAAAAAGGAATGAATACTGAGAGAGTTGGCTATTGGACTAAAAGCAATGCAATGGATTCAAGTAGAATAGTTTATTACTTAATCCTCAGACTTTTATAAAGGAAACCAATTCAACTTTGGGAAATAAAAAAATAGCTATCCATTTTTAAATAGAATATCTAAATTACAGTCTTCCCTTAAATGTTAAAGCTTTGCATTCTGTCTCTAGGTGTCAGTTATGATAAAGTTTCAGGAAACTGATGACAGTCATGGGAAAGCATCAATAGTTGACACTGTGATAAAGAGGAAGCACTTTTGCAACTTCCTTGATTATTCTATGATTTTGTGTCAGCAATTAAGATTTTGGAGGCGAGGTGGGAATTTTAATGATCAAGATTTAGGACTTTGGTTTCTCTTTTAAAATTTGAGAAATAAAAATATTAGCCACATTTAGATGCATTGAAGTCCCCAGGCTGTGCTTTTCATGCCATGTTTAATTACTTCTGTCATCCATCAGCTAAAATTTATATTTCATTTTACAACCCCTATTCTCATGTAGATTTAGGCCTTTATTTCAGAGGAAACAATTTAATTTTCTTGTGGACCCTGTGCCATTTACAACAGACCAGCCAAAGCCTTCCTTTCACTAGAGTCTAATGATAATAACAATAACAACAACCACAACCACAATAATAAGGCACCTGGCATTACAGAATGAGTCCTAAACAGAAGTGGTGATTGTATTACGGAGAACAAGAAAAACAGCATAAACTATTCATGAATTCCAGAGAAAACTTATCTTAAAGCATAATTGTAGATATTTAGTTACGCTTCAGTCTTCATCAAGACAAGAGGCTAAGTGAGGCAAAGTGACTGTTTTTTTCTGGTTTTTTTTTTGAGACAGAGTCTTGCTCTGTCGCCCAGGCTGGAGTGCAGTGGCGCAATCTCGGCTCACTGCAAGCTCCACCTCCCGGGTTCACGCCATTCTCCTGCCTCAGCCTCCCAAGTAGCTGGGACTACAGGTGCGCGCCACCACACCCGGCTAATTATTTGTATTTTTTAGTAGAGACGGGGTTTCACTGTGTTAGCCAGAATGGTCTCAATCTCCTGACCTCGTGATCCGCCCGCCTAGGCCTGCCAAAGTGCTGGGATTACAGGCGTGAGCCACTGCGCCCGGCCAAAGTGACGTTTTAAAATTGCTAAAAGTATAAAGTACCAGCAAAGGGAAACAGAACAAAAAACAGAAATATCAATTGATAATGCAAAATTATTAAAGTTATTCTGAAAGATGAATTGTTAAACTGTTTCTACCAAGATTTCTAATTTATAAGAGTAGTAAGATGCATTGGGAATATCTTATTTGTTTCTATTTTTGCCTCTAAAAATCTAATACACACTAAGAAAATTTCTCCTCAAAGATAAAAAAATCTAATTATGAATCTAAATATTAACCAGATTTTAGAGTAAAAAATCTAGAAAAGAAATGTTTTTTTCACAGGGAAATAAAATTAAAGGACAGTTTATTTTTTTCTAACAAATGCATATAATGTGATTTTTTTCAGCCTTCTACATAAATCATAGAAATCTTTAAAGACTTTTTCATCAGATGGAATAACAATTAGACAACAAGCTTTTATTAAAAGTGATATTTTAAAATTAGTCGTAATGTGTACAGAGCTTTAAACATAACACATACTATTACAAACTCAAAACCTTCACAAATTGATTTGAAATTGTGAAGCCTGATATTCAAATCTAAGAGTCAAGTCAGCTAGTATTCCTGATTACAAAAGCATGCTTTCATAGGAACTCAATTTCCTTTATCAATACAATTTTGGCCACTTAAGAGATTAAAAAATAAATAAATACACAAACAAATCATGTATATAAACTTTCCTGGTCAGATTGCAATCACTGTTCATCAAAACAATGGCTCTTGGATGCTTCCATCCTAACAATAAAGATGCCTCATGATATTGACTAAGCTTATCAATTGTTACGTTAACCAGGGCTTTGGAGCCAGGATCCTGACAAAATTATAAATCGTTTCACTGTATACATTTAGGGTCCCTTAAGACCAACAAATCTCCTCCCAGTTCCACTCAATTTAATAACTAACTGTCTGTCTATCCATCCATCCATTCATTCACCCTTCCATCTATCTTTCTTGTTAAATTAAAAGGCCATGTAATCGCACAGCAGCCCTTAGTTCTGCTATCCTGGAACCCAGTTATATTAGGTCTCCCCTTTTAATCGGTCCAGGAAGAATCCTAAGAAACTGGCCGACTCACTTGATAACACATGCCACCAATGTGAAGGCCACCCAGCAACCACACAATAAACATCCTAGACCTGAAACACAAGCATTGTGGAATCCATCCTCTCACTGAGATTACATTTTGTCCCTTCACTTTGTACCAACTCATCCAGATCTGCTCCAGAAGAACCCACAACATTTAGAAAAGCCAACAAGAGTACTCAAATAAATGTAATGCCATTGTCACAGCAAATCCCTGTAGCTATGAATTACAATACATAAAAATTATATTTTATGCCTTTGGGGAAATATTGTCAAAATAGCAAGGAAAAACCATCTCAACATAAAATTTAATTATGGCTCCATGTATTTTGTGGGGCTAATGAAATATCTACTGACATTATAATATCTCTTTTAAATAAACTTACTACAAATTTCAGGACTTTGGTTAGGTGGGGTCAAAATATATTCTTTGATAATAGAAATACTCACTGCTATTTACCATTTGTTCATTGTTGCATTTTGGAATCTCAGAAGTCTTGCTTATGAGGTTGATTTTATAACATTTCCAAATAATACAGATTTGGGAGTACAGACAATGGCAAAGTAAAAATCTTTTAAAATAATTTTATGTTTACTTCAAAAATACCGAGCATGTACTTTTTTTCAAAGACATATGCGTAATGACTAGAAATATGGCACCTAAGAAAAGCCATTTTGGTCACTCATAGTTGAGAAAGTCTATGACCAAGAGTTTTCATTTTTGCCGCTTTAAAAAAAATTGCCTATTTATTATCAGGATATAATTTTTTTGTGGAAAGAACTTGATAGTTGCTAAATAATGACTTTTTTTCATCATGTCTAGCTGACTGTGTGAGATACTTAAAGATGTGTTAATCTGTTTCTCCACCGTTAGTTAAATTAAAGCACTTAGAGTTTTTGCTGATGCATTTTTAATGTGTCATCCAAGGTGTCAGGTTTAACTACTACGCCCTGCAGACTTACAGAGTTGAAAGTGTTCTCTAGTTTAAATTAACAATCTCCTTGCCAAAAGTCTTATTAAAAATTGCTTCATTCAACCAATGAATAAAGTGTTTTATAGTTCATTAAAATTATGCTAAGTGGTTATAATAAAATCTTTATAAAAAGATGTATTATTAAAAAAAGATATAAGCTGTCAAGTAATAGAAGATATGATAATCAGACACCATCACAGTAGTCTGTATTATATTATTCAAAGGATGAACTTTTCTGAAAGAAAAACTATTCTAAACTGTTATTGTCAAAAATATGAATTGCAATGCGTATGTTTTTATATCATCACGATAATATTTGTTATATAATTGAAGTAATTTATTGAAAGCACATAAGTTTATTATTATCTCACCTTTACCCATTGGTAAATTCATTATTCTAGGTTAAAACACACACACACACACACACACACACACACACACGATGTAATGTAAAACCATAACTGCTTATTGTTTGATAGAGCCAATTATTTCATTACATTTTTCCATTTTTGGCTTGGCCCCACAAAATGTATTCACAAAATACACATAAATCATCTCTTTTGAGTTCATGAAACTTTCTTGATGAATAATTTAACCTTAGAATAAATTATCAGTGATAAGCTTCTTCTAAAGAATAAAATATTGCAATAATCCAAAGCACTACCATTTCTCTGCTAAAACACATTTTGTCACATAAGTGTAACTCTTTGACCTGGATAATTCTTCTGTTGCCCAAGTTTAAGGAGACATCAGCCCCTTTCTTCTTAAAATAACATAATTCTATAACAGCTGAGTGTGGGGCAGAATTCAAAATGTGCGTAATAGAAAGTGTGCTTGTGGAAAACCAGAATGAGTCTTTTGAAGGATGGTTCTGTCCCTAGAAGAGGCAATATTATGGAATTTATACCTATATACTTGTTTATATGCCATTCAAATATAATGCATATTTTATACATTCTTCTTTTTCAGAGGTAAGTTTAGATGCATTTTTTTCCTATGTATTACTAAGTGGTAATACAATTACCCGCCCCCCACCTCCAAAAAGAAAAAATAAGTTAGTCCTGAACAGCAATTAGGATCTCCCTGTCCTCAAGCTGGCGATTCTTCTTTTGATTTCAATAGTTAAATACAACCCCACATTATGTGAGTGCCACAAGTAATAAGATTTCCATTGAAAGAGCCTATTATTAGCAGAAGTATGGTTACAAAAACAGGTAAAGAAATTTCATCATAGAAAGTCAAGATGATGAAAATGACGAGTAGATGCTTAAGGAACAGGAAATTCCATGAGCTGATTCACATTGCAGAGCGGGGAGACAGGCGTATTTAAAAGAACAACAACCGAGTCGATTTAGCCTTTCTTCCTCTGTAGGTACATTATTTCTGAAAGAAACCAAGTAAAGGAAGAAAAACTCCATACTGGAGAGAATTTCTAACAACACTGGCTATCTTTAAGTCTTTGCTACAAAATTTACACTTCTTAGATTATCTATTCACCATTGACACTCAAAGACAGGCTGCATGCCAAAGCCCTGCCATGAAGATGCGGGAGACCTCATTCTGTAAATCAAGATTCCAAAGAAGAAAATGATCTGTGTTTTTATGAAAAATTTACCTTTGAATTTGAACATAGTTATATCATATATGAAATACCCATATTTAAATGTAATGCACATAAAATTACACCCTATTTCCAAAAATAAAAAACGAAAAATCTGTACTCAGACAAGAATTTTTAAGAAGATTGAAATATTTAGAAAATGATGCATTTTCATAAAACAGTAACATAGTAAAATCTATAAAGCTACACAGTATAGTCCCTTACCCCTTAGTTTCCCAGGAAGCACAATTTACCGGAGGAAAAGATTCAGGGAGCAGTTTCAATGTAGCAGAGTGTGTGAAGGAAGGTGGACTAGCTAGTAATTGAAATGTCAAACTTTCCCCCGATTTTGGATTTAACATTGCGCTCTTGTAACACTAATATAGATGAATATGGCAAATGTTTTAGGGCACAGTAAAAAATCTGAATGAATTAGCAGGTGTTCAGTATGTTCTCACAGAAAAGAAAAATCAAATGAGTTAACTGATTTTACTTCACTTAGTATTCAATATCCCCATTAAATTTTTCAAAGTTGAAAATCCCTTAGGCTAAAACCCAAAAGCTTATGTTAACGCTGTACTAAATATAATCTGCCAAGTACTCAAATGAGTGCTGTTAGACATAGGAATTCTGTATCTTCAGTTGGAAGCTTGAAAAATGCATCCGTTCGAATATATAAATGGATTGCTAATAATAAATATAAACTCCAAGAATTTTAGATATAAAACAGTAGAGGATAGATGTTTATTATTCACTTTAAATTTTCTGTATATGGAACAAAAATATGTTATATATTTTTACTTAATTTATGTTTAAAATTATATTTACATTTAAATATACATTTAATATAATTTTTAAAGAAGAATTTTTTTTTTTTTTTTTTTTTTTTGAGACAGAGTCTCACTCTGTTGCCCAGACTGGAGTGAAATGGCATGATCTCTGCTCACTGCAACCTCTGCCTCCAGGGTTTAAGCGATTCTCCTGCCTCAGCCTCCCTAGCAGCTGGGATTACAGGCATGTGCCACTACGTCTGGCTAATTTTTGTATTTTTAGTAGAGATGGGGTTTCACCATGTTGGCCAGGCTGGTCTCGAACTCCTGACCTCAAGTAATCCACCCACCTCGACCTCCCAAAGTGCTGGGGTTACAGGCATGAGCCACTGTGCCTGGCAGAATCTTCATTTCTAATCTTCCTTTTATACAATAGAATGGATTATTCCCATTAATTAATACTAAGTATTATATAATATCCTGCTCTAGCATTACATGTTAAATATATCTGAAAGAATATTGTTACATATTGATGGGTTGTCATGTTTTTTACACAAATATATCCAATTATATGAATTTAAAAATATATACACTTTTAATATAACAATAACTGTAAAGTATAACTGTAAAGGAAAAAGTAATACAAATATGAACAGTGCAAATATTTCTTCAAAACATCTTGAAACTTTATTTTGATTAGTGAAAATCACAGTGAACATTAAGTTAGAAATATTCAGCAACCTTCCTTAATAAGCCTTTTTCATTTTATTAAAATAATAAAGGTGATTTTTAATGGGAGCCCTGACTTTTTTGTAAGCCAAATTATTCTTTGGTCATTAATGCCATTAATGCCATAGGAATTAGGGAGAAAATGTACAGTAAGAGACACTTGTTCAAACAGATTAAGTCATTACCATAAATATAAAAACATTTTGATATATATTAATTCACAGTAATAAAAATGACAAAATTAAAGAAAAGCTTAGGTAAAAGCATGATTCAATCAGAATGGAAGGAAAAAGACTGTCATGTTCCAGGGTCTAAAAAAATTAGTCATTATTAAAAAGGAATACTGACTCTAAGTAGAAATTTGAGCAGACAAGATTTTTACAAGTAAAATCGTTTTGATTTATTTCAAGGTATATTCATATAAAAATTGTTTCATCTTGATATCGATCTGTGTCCAACAGTGGCAGCATCACTGAACAAATTAAACACTTAGTTTATATTTTGCATATCTTACAAGTTGAAGAAGAGCCAGGGCTTAGTAAGTTACAGGAACCATAAACTCCTCTCACTTTATTTCTTAAAGTGAGAAGAGACAATGGGGAAAAATTGTTCTTATTGTATACTATAAAGATGTAATGATACAGGAATTTCTGAGTTTAGAAAGCCTCATACTCAATTTTCTGTGACCCCCCAAAATAAAATAAATTGTGCGAATCTTTCTTCTGTCTGGAGTTGTCCCTCCCCTAGCCTCATCATTTTATTCCTGGCTCAGAGCAATTTTCTAGACCCTGTTGCATATATAGTTGAGACCAGATGCTGAGAATGATGTTGAGAAGTGACCAGAGAATAGTGAAAGGATGATTTGAAGCTATTGATCGGTGTGATTTCTATTTAAAAAACATCACATGGTTGGCTTAAATTTATGGGGAAAAGTAACAATTGAATAGTATGAAATCTGGTAGCATACTTTGAAGAGATGAGAGAGATCTGGGAAAGCAGATGATAGTTCTGCTCAACAAGAAAAGCTGAAAGATCACAAGCTAAGAATTACCTTACTTGATCTTTTCCAACTCTTCCTCATTAGCATTGTCTGTAAATAAAATAAAGCATTTTCATTATCTTTTCACTCAAGAACAGAATAGGGCAGCCAGTTGTTTTTTAGCGGAAACATTTATTAGCCCTTGAAACAGCGAACAGTTCCTGCAGCAATTATACAACACAAAACTTGTTTGCCACGCACACACAACTAGAGAAACAACTTTAACATTCCAGCAGTCTTTCTGGTGAGAGTTCATTTGATTTATTCCTTTGTAAAAAAAAAAAAAAAAAAAAAAAAAGGAACAGTATCGGGATGCCTTTATTGACTGAAAAAAAACACATTGAGTCTCATAATTTCCAATGGCTCCTTTTGGTGGTGGAGGTTGAGGTTGTACATGACTTGAACAGGTATATAATAATTTTTCTCTTCAAACACATTCAAAATCTTTTGCTTGGATGGCATCGTAGAATTGTCTCTGTTTCCAGTTAATCTTTAACTACATCAGGGCCTACAAATGCTTTCAATTAAAAACAAATGCTGCATACTGTGATGGCTACTAGTGTATTTTCCTGCTAAACGTTTAGTGAAAGCATATCCTTTAAATTAGTTAGCTTGTGTCATACTAAGAAATATGTATGGCCAAAAGTTTTAATTAAGGTTCTAGAGCTTTGTAATGCATCCCCAAGATCACTAATCTCTTGAATAAACTAAATCATAAAAGCCCAACGAATTTTTTTGTTTTCTCTCTTCACTTTAAAAAATTTCTCAATGAACACTGAAGTATTAACCTTCCTGATTAACCTCTTTCCCCTCTCTTTGCTTTACTATTATGTTTAAGGCAGATGAAGTGGAGAATAGGAAATATTCAGGGCAAGGAATATAGCTTAAAGTGCTTGTGCCATATTTGTGTATCAGGGAAATGTACTTTAAGAACTGTATCTCTTTCAGGAGGATTCACCATAAAAAAGAACCATGTCAGAAACTATTCATGGATTAGAATAACACAAAAATGAAAAGATTTTTAATATAAGATGAGGGCAACCTTTAACCTAAACCACAAGAATGAATTTAGACATTCTAGGGTAAAAACTAAGACTAGCGTAACATTTTCAAAGATAATTATATGTTCCTCTTTTATGTTTTCAAAGATAATTATATGTTCCTCCTTAACAAAGACTGTTAAATGTTGACCAAAACATAAAAGAATAATAGATTTCCTAAGGTTACAATGATTCCTCATCACGCCTACTTTTTTTTTTAAAGTCAGGAAACTGCAAAGCACTGTTATCAAATACTATTATAGAAATACTTTATGTTTTCAAAGTACTAAATGTCCAGTTCATTTTGAAGCAACAAATCCCAGCATTGGGTTATAGAGGTGGCCATCTAGGGGGACATGTACTAAATCTTTACTTTTGATGTTACATGATTTATTATCATCAGTATCATCATCATCATCACCACCACCATCACTTCCTCCATCATCACCAAAAGGCAACTGGAAACCAAATATTTAAGTGGTATACCATATTTACAAAAACTGCCCCATAAGAGTTGGATAATAAACACTCAACTTTCTCACCAAGCAGAGTTTCAATGGACAAAGAATGGTATATCCTAGAGATGATATTTTGAGTCAAATCAATCAAGAACTATTAAGATACATAAAAAGTACAATCTACAATTCATGGTCACTTATCATCATTATCTAGCATCTAAGAATTTTATAATATAAAATTCCATTATATAAGAAATGTTATGCTATGTAAAAGGGCCTTAGAACATTAGAAAGAGTGAAATCTCATGGCAACACTAGCCAATATTACAAGGATTCCACAAAGTCACATCCCCTGACTCACAAGGACCACATACAATTAACCTTCTATAGTAAACAAAACATAGGACCAGTATTTGTCCTGTCTCTCAAAATCAGCTTTATAAGCAGGCTGCATGGTTTTATTTTTCAGATTGAGAAACTGATACAATAAAAAGTCAGTGATTACCCTAAGTATAAATAGGAAAGATTTAGCAGTTATGAGAACCCATTCACTATTTTCCTAATTCAGTATCTAAAGTTCTATTACTATATCCAGTAACTCTCAAAATGACCCTAGATTTTATAACATTTCTGCCTCTTGAGCCAAATCTACTACCAAAGCAATGGGTTTAAGTATCTCACTTCCAAGTCCCTTTTTCTTTTAGGTAGTTGAGTTAAGGTCGATTCAATAAAACTGAAAACAGTAGAAAAATTAAAAAGAAAATTTAATATATATACTATTAATAATGTTTTCTTTGCTATCTGTGAGACATGTTAGAGAAGAAAGATTGGGGATTGTGAAAGATAGAAGATGAAGCAAATTATAGAAAAATAAGATTTATTTTTTTGCTCTATGATCTTAACTTCAGCTGAGAAACATATGAATTAATTTTTGAAAGGATTATTGCCTGATATTATTATAGTACAATTCAAATTCTTCATTAGCAGCTCAACTTCCTTGAAGCCAGTAAAAGGAATGAAGTAGCATAAAAATATGGCTTGTGATAGAGCTGCAGAAGTAATTGTTTTTAAAAGACTCCACGATCTCAATCCATTTTTTAATTTTTATCTTTTGTTGAAGTGACTTTTTAAGGCGATTATATAACTACTGTACATATAAAGAAATCACAGAATTAGATACAATAGTAACATACATCTTGTAAAGCATACATATATCAACTTTTTGTAGGTAGATATTTCTTCAAATGTTGGCTGTGTAATAATTCTGAAGAATATCAAAACTAATCCAAGATAAAGAAGTTTTTTTTTTTTTTTTTTACTCATCAAAGGCCAACTGAGATCATTCATATGTTTCTTTGAATTTTCTATTTTTTAGCCTTAGGCAAGCAATTTGTAGGTCTAGGTTATTTAAGAGAGTGTGTAACACAAATTAACTCACTTTTATTTCACAAATTCTCCAATGAAGAAAGCTGTGGATTGAACTCTGCTAGAAAAAGAGCCAGAAAGAACTCAAACACACTATCAGACAAATTGCCATATATAGGACACACATATATGCACTACACACTTTTACAGGTTCAAAAATAGGACATGCAATCAAAACAGAAATGACAATTGTGCCATGCAACTCATCAGCATGCCCTCCATGGAGGTTTTGGTTTCTTGTACACACAATGCTGGAAACTTAAAATGTATATATATATATCTTCACATCTGGAAATTTTTTTTTAAAGACTCAATCATGACCTCAATGGAGAAGATTTTGATATGGCACCTATGAAATACAAATTGCTGCAATTAGACATTGAATATTTTAGAGGCTTTAGTAGATTCAGTAGGCTGATAGGTTTTTCAACTCATTCTTCACTTTTACTGATTTCTAGAACTGGCAATCCACACAAGGAGAAATCATCCCAACTGCATAATTCATGGAACGTATTGTTACTATTAACAGTGCATAAAAAACTCACAAGATGACTGTTTTAGAAATCTTACCACTTTGTAATGCTAAGGACTCTCTACTTCCAGTTATTCATTTCTTCCTACCTTGCCAGAGCATTTTATTCACATTAATGTTCTATTTCCTATTTGATTGTTAGGATTTATCTGTAAAAGGCTCTTGAAACACATCTCTTTCATTCTCCATTTTTAATACATATAAAATATTTAGCAAAGTTTTATCAACACAGGCATAAGAATAAACATGTGGTTTTTGAACTAACATCTTCAGTGCTAAAAGCTTGAAATAAATTATTTCTGAGTTAGTAATCAAAGAGAACAGAACTCCTGTAATTTTGCTCTGTGAGGGTCAATGTAAAATTTGCCTTTATTCCTTTCTTACATAATTCTCATTTTCTGGGGATTGTGAAGCATTCAGTAACTGATTTCTGGTTTGCTGCATTTTTAGCTTAAATTTCTCTAAATAAAATTTGTTTCTGAATAATTTGTGAAAGTTCAGCATGCCATTTTTACAGATGCAGTATGCTATGTTTTTTAGATATCTAAAAATTTAACTTTAAGATACATTGGATCTCTGATTTTTAACCAAGAAACTTCAAATGTAGCCCAGAGAATTTATTAAGCTGATACTTGACATGTTACAGAATGAAGAAAATACAGTGATGGGTTTATAATTTATTGTCATCATTCGAATTCCATGGGAAGAGCAATAAGGCTTGATTTCAAGCAGATTATCATTAATATACTAATTTTAAGAACTTACAAAAGAAAATTAAATCATTATTTAATCATGATTTGATATTGTTTGTGACAACCTCAGGGATTTGAATATTGAGGTAAGAAAAAAAACCATACACCCTCCCTTGGTCTTTTGAAGTCATCATAAGGAAGACTTTATGTATTATATATATATATTTCCCCTTGTATCAGTGATAGGACGTAGGATGGAGGTGAGGTGAACTATAGGCATATTTTAGGTACACAAGTAACACTGAAGAAAGCCTGGACTTGAGAGAAGGTGAACTGAGAAGGAGTTTGTATGGCTGGGACAGAAGTTACAGTGAGGGAACATACATTGCTTGTTGGAGAGCCTTAAAGTTTCTCACCAGGAGTTTCAATTTAATTAGAGAAATAGCCACAAGTCACTGAACACTTAGAAGAAGAATGAGGAAGTTATAAAGCCTGGTATAATGCTTAGTAGATGATCAATAAGTATTTTGTTTTATACAGATGCCTACAAATGGTTCTTATTTTGAGTTTCAAAACCTAATAACCAGTGTTGGTAAATATAAGAACCAGTTCTAGAGAGCTTAATAAAATAGTTATAGAACTGCAATGTAGGACAAACACAGAAGAAAAGCCAATTTATATGTGTTTTTGGGCATTTTCATAATGTAGAGCATATGTTTAGAAACCCAGATTCAAATCTAGGACATCAGAATAGCTAGGATACTGAATCCCAGCAGAATTTCCAATGGGGGAATCTTTCTCCCCTCCCTCCTTTCTCCCCTCTCCTCTGGCCCCACTTGTTTCTCTACAACCAAGCCCATGCCTCAGCTATTGATTGTACCCACGAGGATGAGCCAAGATAGCCACACTGGTTACCCTTCTCTCTGCCTCCTTAGGGGTGAGTGAGATCAGGACAGGAAGTACAAGGATGTTCACCAGCCAGAGGCTGGCTCTGAACAGACTTGATCACTGTGCCTTTTCTAAGCCCTGGTTGAGCCACTTGCTTCTCTGATGAAGAAAGAAGCCACAAGAGAGTCAATAACAGGATAGGAGGAGAGAAGACGCTATTTCCCTCTTAATGCAGCAAAGTGAATGCAGTGCTCTCTGGAACTTTGAAAGAAGAGGGCATGAAGTAAGGTAATGAATGCAAAAAAACTTTTTGAGATGAAAAATACCTTTGGAAGGATTTCTTCCAAAAAATCTGGGGTAGTCAAAGGGATTTGAGCCAAGAAAATAGCATGAGGATTTCAGGAGGAACTTTTTGTGTTAAGGGTGAATGTGGCTGAAGAGATACGATGAAGAGAAAGGAAAAGGAGGAAAAGAAGATGAAGAAAACCATATTTTTGATGTATAACTGCTTTCATGTAACCCACCTACTTTCTTCTTTATTTGTGTTTGATAACTTACTAATGATCAGCTCCCAGGCACTGTAATATTTTTAGATAATTTTTACATTTTAAAAATAAGTTTGAGCAACCATGGAGACTGAAGGATTTTTGCAAGGATTGTTGAAGAAAAAATAATGTTGGAAACTATTTTGCCTGTGCTGTCATATTTCTGTGTAATTTAGAACAACTCAGCAGCTTCATCGTAAGGTCTCCTGATAGTAACTTGCTCCCTCAAACCCTCAGTTTGATTTTAGAGTATTTAATAAACATCCCTTTAATGTAAAAATTCAGCTGACTATACATTATCAAATCACCCAAATCACCACAATCGCTGCTATATCATCCCAATCTCCAGGAATATTGCAAGTTTAGATGGTCTGGGAATACACAGGATCTCAGGCACTTAGGTATCTTGATTTATGAAGTGCTGTCCTTCATTAAAATAACAAAGAACCCCAGCATAAGAATATTCTATCACCAAGTCTTGTTGATTTTTACCTCCTATAGGTAAACCTACCAGTTTCCCTCCATCTCTACCTCTGACAGTTCTAATCCAAACCTCCATCATCTTTCACCTGGATTTTTGCCATGGCCTCCTAATTGGTCTCCAGGTATCCATTCTTACCCCTTCAATATGTTTTCTACAATGCAGCCACAGAGGTATTTTCAAAAGGCAAACATGATTCTACTGCTTTTGATTTACAGATCTTTCAATGGCTCCCCCACAGTGTTTTGGGGAAAGACCCAAACCTTAACATGGTCAATGAGTTCTACACAGTCTGGACATTGTCCTTCCACCCCAGTGTTGTTATGCACTCTGATCACCCACACTGTCTTTGCTTCCACCTTCTCTAAACTCCAGTAGTTTTTTAATTCTTGAAATGCAACATGGTTCCTCTTGTCACATGGCCTTTGTGTGTGTTGTCTCCTCTGCTTTAAACACCTCCTCTCTTTCTTGTTTTTGCTTTATTAAGGCCTATTTTACACTTCATATCTCAGGTCTTATTTGGCTTCCTTAGAGAATCCTTAACCCCTGGCTAGTAAAAATTTTCCTATATTTGCTCTTTCAGCAATATGTACCTCTTTTTCACAACATTTAAAACAGTTGTTTCCATCAGTGACTAATTGATTCCTGGGTTCTCCACTGGGTCTAAGTTCTATTGTATCCTAAGTGTCTGGCACAGGAACTGGCTTAAAGTAGGTTCTCGGAGAATACTAGAATCATTTAAATAAAACACAAAATGCACATTTATAATTGATTCTTATGTATGGATTAGCCAGCTAGGTTATACTTCCTGGCTTGCCCTGAGTGAAATAATGTCTTCTGAAGTAGTGACTTCTAAGATGACGGGCTTTCATTTCTAGATACTTTTTTGTAAAAATTGTTTCTCACTCACCCCTCTGCACAAGGGTGCATGTGCACACATACATACATAATTTTACCAAGCTAAGTTCTCACACTAGGTATTATTATCTGGCAATTCTTATTTAAAAAGAAAAATTTCTTCCTCAGTGAATGAAGTATGGATACTTAACCCAATTTAGCAAATATTATATGTAAACGTATGTGTTCATCATTAAATTTCTAAAAAGGAGGGAGAGAAATACTTCTTGAAAGGGTGAATTTTTCAATGAGTTTAAAGTATTTCCAAATTTGATGTTGTAATTCACTATTTTTACCTGCAGTCTAGGGGAAAACGCCAACAATACCTTTCCAGCAGACAATCTATAACCAACTTTAATCATGCATTATTTTAGGACAGCAATACATACATTGCTGAAATAGAGTATTTGGACTTGCCTAAAAAATTATGTCTACTACTAAAATGTGTTATAATCAGAGCTAGTTAGAGTAGTTCCCAGGCACATGGAAGCACATTGAGTCCAATAAATAATCTCTGGCAAGTTGTGACAGAAAGTACACTAGCAAGCGTACTGATGTGGGTCAAGACTGATATTTTTTAATGCCACTTCAACTGTGGGGGAGTAATTAGGTCCTCTGTGTCCCTTGTCAGTTTCTCATAGCAGCATGGTGTGCAAGGACGTACAGACAGCTAGTGCTGAAAAATGGGTAATATCAACATGAAAGCCCATCAAGAAGATGAAAAGTATTCACTTATCATTCACTAAACAAATACCAGAAAGCAGAAACTCTGTTATAATTTCACCTCATTTTCTCTGTTATGGTACACCTGACAATACAGTCAAAACAGCAGGGTCTGGATACCGTAATGTGGAATTCCAAGTATTCAATTCACTAATAAATGTATTTCCCAAATGAATACTAATATTTGCCTATAATATAGCATGTCTGAAATTGAGAAATAAAATAAAAATTCAAATCTATTTCTTATTTACAACAAGAGGTTCTGATCTGGAGGATGTAATAGGAAATTAGAGTTGAAAAGATACAGTAAGCATGAATGAGCAATACCTAGGATACTCACAGAAACAAAGAACAGGGCATATTTTCATAGGCAGCTTCTCTTTATTATCATCTCTGGGTCCAGAGAAAGGCTCACAACTTTCAAACAAGAAAGAGCTCCTACTAGGCTGTGGGGGAACTTACCACATCCCTGGACTCTCCTTCTTTAGGGGTAAGGATGACTGAGAGCAAAATGATTCCAAGATCATGGTCAGGATAATGAGGATCTTTCAGAGTAAGGGTCACATCTGTGGGCCTGTGATAGAAAATATTTAGATTTTGAACAGTCATTAAATGAATAAGCCAAATATATTTTTATTAATGCTTTATTATTTTAAGATAAAAAGTAATTTTGTCTTCCTTTACTTTCTTGGGACAATTTTTGTTATTAAAATATTATCAGTGTATTAAGTTATCCAATAAACTGCGTGTAGATCTGAATACACCAGATGAATTTCTGCTTTCTAAACCCATGAAGGTTCCAGAAAGTGGTTGAAAAGGTCAAGACTACAACCCTATTAAGAAGCCTATCAGTCTCCTTTCTATGCTCTCTAAACCCACAGAGAGTAGCGCCATACATATACACAAGTGTGTGTGTGTATACACATACACACACACACGCAAATATATATATATACATATATATGTATATATATATACACATATACATATATATGTGTATATATATACACATATACATACACACACATATACACTAAATACACATATGGGGTTACAGTCTGACTTAGTTCATTTTCATGTAATGATTACATACAAAAATTAATAGAAAAAACTTCATTACATTTTTTAATGATTACATGATAAAAACATAAGAACATTTACAACTGCCTTATGATGTATTATTCTTTCAGAGGTACCTCAATGTATTACATAGTATAATAACATAAATATTTATATGGCTACAATTGTTATCACTTTTTCTATACCCAGAGACTATTGATTTATATTTAGAATAAAACAGCATACACAAATAGGTTATTTTAAAAAGTAGTAATTAGATGTTTATGTGGTTTTGAGGAGAGGGAATTGCTAGTAAAATACATAAAATATGTTATGTAGCAAAATACACACCAAATGCTCATGTATAAATAATCTCTTTTAATTTTTGAAATTATTCCAAATTGTCACCATTTAAAATTATTTTTCACCGATGATTTATCTTTCATAGGAAACAAGATAAATTTATGCTTTGGGATTAAGTCTAGTCACTTGATATCCTTATGCAGAGGTCTAAGAGAAAGTACCTGTGAGGTTTACAGAAGAACAGTACAGTCTATTCCAGATTGAGCTCAGTTTTCATGATAATAGACTCCATGCAACACCACTTAGGGCACTTCCTACAGCGGCAGGGAGGTGTGAGCCTGTGCTAGGTTATAGGCTGGAATGAAGGACTTACAGAAAAAGTACAGGAAAGGCTGCTCTTTTGTCCAGTCTGAGGCAACAATGACTATTGGAAGACCAATAAGCCATTGTGCTCAAACTAAGTTGATTGTAATGCATAAGTGAGTTCTACACTTTATATTTCTCTAGTCATCTACATTTACAGAAATAGAAAGTAGTGATCTGGCTCATTACTCTGCTTTCCTGTTTTCCATCATCCCTGGGGCATGATGTAACATGATCATCCAAAACAGCCAGGAATTCCTTCTCCTTAAAACCATCAAAGAAGGTTTCACAGTTCCCTTTGCAACCTATTTCAGCATGCATGATCTTTTCTAATGGTATTTTTTTATTCTATAATACAAATCAATTCTTAGTTCCTATGTTGAAATTCACTTTGAAAAATATAAGCCCATTATTAGGTGTAAGGAATGATTAATATTAGTAACAATAGTAACTTTGCAACTAGGGAAGCAATGATAAGTAGTGTAACTGAGCAAATACAACCAACCTGCCTCCACCTTAGGAGCATTCCTTGGTAATCCGGCAATGGCAAAATCAGATTCTACCATGGCTCGAGTGACAAGAGAGTTGCTGTTTCTGAAGCAAAGTGTACACACTGCATTTTATATATAGTAGTCCAATTCTTAATAATTATGACTAACGTGCATAATCTTTTTTTATGCCCCATTAAAACCATATGGGCAATATGAAAGGAAGGAATGTCTCTTTTATCTCTCGATTCCTGGTGCTTAGCACAGTACTGGGGAACAGAGCAAGTAGGTATCCAAGAAGTTTTCGGTTGAAAAGTTGTTGAATGAGGTAGTCAGGGAAGATGCTATTATTTCCACTGGGTAAGTGAGGAAGATGGATTTGAGAAAGGCTGACTAGCAGGAAGGCTCACCACTATAAATGACAGAACTAGACCCCAGATCAGCTGACATTTTCTGTTACACAAGCCCACTGCATGACAAGGGGTGGTGATATTACAGCAGTTCAAAAGTTACCTGTTTAACTCCAATTGTGTCAGATCCAGAAAGGCTGAGCCCATAAAGTCATCCTGTAGTCCAAAATCATAGTCAAATACCTGAGATGCCAAAGAGAAAAAGCCTTGTTATAAATATCTCCAATATAAGCTTTATGTGATAATGTCTTGGTCATAAAATGTTGGTTGTCTATGTCACCAAAAGCATACTAATATTTGTATTTTAAAATAATTGTTTTTGTACTTTGGAATATTAGAGTCTCACGAAACACTTAAAGAAAACTACATTTTATTTTTTACTTAATATTACTGATGGATTATATCAAACAGAACTTTAAGATAGATGTAACATAATCAAATAAAATATAGTAAATCTTCAAAAATGTGGGAAAAAGCATAGAATTCAACAAGTATGTCTTTCATATTGGGCTATGATTGATGAGAATATGATTCCAATATCTTCGTATTTTTTAGGCCATTAAAGATACATTTTGTGATATAGGACAATGCCACTTTAAACATACAAATAAGTAAAAAGATACTATGATTAACCTACTTTATAAAGTTATACTAAGGTTAAGTTAAAATAAAGTTTTATTGTCACAAACAATTACTGGGGGATAATACTAATATACCTAACAACATAAAAACTAAAATGAAAAGAAAAGAAAGAGATAATGCGTTTCTTCCTTTTATCAATACTCTATCCAGTATCTTCTCTGTGTTTTGTGTGGTTCTTATTCACTCTATGGTAAGTAAGACAATGTCTCTGACCTCTTGGATTGTACATGGAGGGTCTGGGATGGCCTATAAATACCTAAATACAGTTCAGTTATAAGTGCTATGGAGCAAATAAATGTCTAAGAGGTGTGTGGGGAGCTGCTATTTTAGATGAGGAGACCAGGAACTCCTCTCTGAGGAAGGATATTTGTGTAGACACCCAAATAATGGGAAGGAGTACGCATGCTAGCAAGAGCAAGAGCCCTCCAGCTGAAGGAAACGGCAAGCCCAGGAGAGGGACTGATGTGTTTCACACATCAGTTGTGATCAGCAAGAAACCAGTGGGGTTGAAGCAAATGGAGAGAGACAGATAATGGAAGGATGCTGGAGGGATAGTTCAGAGCTAGATCAGTTAGGACCACTTCCAAAGGATGCTAAGTAAATGGGAACTGGCTAACTTCCATCCATCTATTAATTTTGTCACTCATTCATTCCCTCAGCCAATATTGGCTAAGTACTTATTATGTGCCAGGCAATATGCTAGGAACTGAGTAAACAGTGGTAAGCAAAAATGCCATTCTCAACGCTTACAGTTTAGTGAGGGAGACAGACGTTAAACAAGGAAGCACATAGATGATATGTGGTTACAAATTCTGATAAGTGTTTTAAGGAAAAGAAGAGAGAACGAAGAGAAAGTAAGGAAGTAAGTAAGGAAGATCAGGGAAACCGTTTACGATGGAAAAAAAAAACGCTACCAGATGAAATTTAGAGCTGTCACTTCCTGACCTTTTCAGGTAGAAAACATTTGTATTGAACACTGGAGTAATTGAGCATAACCAGATAAATCTGCTCTTGAATGGATGACCTGGGCCTTTGGTTGCTCCAGGATGTGAGAATCCATGAAGCTGAATCAACAGCCCAGCACTCCTATGCTCAATTCTTGGCACAACAGTTAGAAAGCTCAAAGCAGAGCATTCCTGAATCAGTTGCTCTTTTTTTTTCTTTTTATTTTTTTCTCTATTACAGGTGTACTTCAATTTAAGAAAATTTAATATGTAAAAAATTGATACTTAAATAAAAAGATAAATACTTTGCATTACAAAAGGATTCTTAGATTTGAAGAGTCACATGGGGATTTATTTAAGTAATAAGCTCCCTTAATGCCTTTTAAATTATTCAATTTGCAGTCATTTGATTTACATACAACCTTTCAAGAATGCACTTATTGTAGAAAGCTCAGCACTCCTGCAATAAATATTCTCCTTGATCAATTACACTTCTGAGCTTTAGTCATCTGCTCAGTGGTATAGCATATGCATGTACTGCACATCTTATGCAACTGACATCTCTGTATTTGCAAGTGGCTGCAGCAGTGTATTTCACAATATACAATTTACACCAAAACATTGGAGAAATTTCTCTTGTGGAATCTCATCTAATCATATCATCCTTAGGCTTAAAATCTTGGGGGAGAAAATAGGTGGCATATAATCAGTGAGATCACCTGAGGTTCACCCACACACATGAGGTTGAGAGCTGTGAATCCAGTGAATTTATTAGTGCAGACAGCCCAACTGGGCGATTCAACATCCAACCTCTTTTCACTCTCCTAGTGAGAGTCTTTCCTATTATCCTAATGCTAGATGTCTACTTTAACTCTCAATTCCTATTAATCTGCAAAGGCATAAACATGGGAAGAAAAGGAAACACTAGAATCCATGCATTAATGAAATTATTAGCTATGCTGTTTGGTTCCAAGCTCTACACACTATTTGTCAGAGGGAGCATTGCTCTAAGTGAGCTTTAGAAATACAGAGCATAGGAGAGAGATAAAATAGGAAAAGGTACTCCCACTGCACTAACAACAAGCACAGTTCATGCTTATTAATGTTTATTCAATATTTACTAGGCACAACCTGGTTAACAAGGTATTGTTGTTTCTATTTTTCAGATAATGAATCCAAAGCTGAAAAAAACACATGTTATTTTCCCCCCAAATCCTAGGGCTAGGAAGACACGAGATTCAAATCTTGTTGTATTGAGTGTCATAAACAGAGTGTGTTTAAATTTCACAAATATGTCTTAGGCACCCACTCTAAGAGAAGCACTGAGAGTTAAAACATGAATGATTTAGATGAGATCCTTGCTTTCATGGGTCCTTCCCACCACTAGTTGGAAACATTAGGTAACAGGTAGAAGTTGCTTGGGACTTGGTAACACCTTCTGCATTCTCAAGTGACTTTAGAACAAGAAATATTTAATTTAAAACAACAAATTCACCTTACTGTTTACTAAAAATCCATTGGGAAGTGTATCAGTTAAAATGCTTTTGTTTTTGTTTTTAACACAAAATTCAACTCAACTGGCTTCAATTTCTAGCTCAAATGACTGCAGAAATGTCTATAGGTAATTATGGCTTCTGGGAAGTTTTAATTTGGCGGTTCAAATTATTCATGCACTTATTAATTCATTTATTTGAAAAATATTTGGTGAGCACCCACAATGTTCCAAGTACTGTTCTAGGCATTTGAAATACAGCAGTGATCAAAACAGTCAAAGTCTTTGATTTCTTGGAGCTTACATATGGGGTGGGGAGAGACAGACAATAAAGAAATACATATGCCAAGTAGCAGTGATAAATGTTAAGGAGAAGAATATTTCAGAGTACTGGAGTGATGGGAACTACTATTTATACATGATGTTCAGAAAGGACAACGAGAGTGGGAGGTGTTTCCCCATGATGGGAAAAGTGTGTTTCATAATGAGGGAATAGGAAAGTGCAATCCATGATGAGGAAAGTGTCTTCTGCAAGGGGGGAAGAGGAAGTGGAGAGGCACTGAGGAAACTGGCCAGGGGCCAGTGAGGCTGAAAGTAGTAAGCAAGAGAAGAGTGCTGGAACATTAGTTCAGGCTTAGGCCGTGGGGCCTACCATCATATTTTAAAGTCTGGGAGAAGGATCCAGAGAGGAGACTGAGAAGGAACAGCTACTGAGGGAGCAGGAAAACCAGGAGAGTGGTATCCTGAAAACAAACTGAAGAAAGAATGTTAAGATGGAGGAAGTAGTTAACTGTATCAAAGGTAAATGATACAGCCTAATCCCATTTCTGCCTCTCCAGTTCTCTATCAGAGCTTCCTCATCATTACTGCCTCAATAGCTGCCCCAGGATGCTAATGGCCTGCCAGGACATCCAGAGTGGCATGCTTCTTTACTCAAGTCTAGTGGGGAAGCGTGAGCTGCTTTGTCCCAGCATTCCCAGCAAAGTACTGAATCCGTTCCAGATGGGCCAGCTCATATCACATGCCTATTTATTGGCCAAAGATATGGAAGTGGCTTAATGGCTAGCATAGGTTGCCTTTATTTTTAAAGGCAATGGTGAAGTCAGTGTCCATGGAACCATATGGATCTTCAAAGAGAAAAATTGGGAGCCCATAGAAAAGGTAAAAAGAGATACACATTTGGAAAATCCTCAACTAATATCCCTAACAGAGAATCCAAACTAGGGTTCTTATGATGGCTCCAGGTGCCATGATACTTGCCCCTCTAGAGCTAAAGCTAGTTGACACCCACCTGTAGCTCAGTCCTGGTCTTGGCTTTAGGAAAACTCCTGATATGAATCAGGGAGACTTTCAGGATTTCTAATTCAAGGCTTTGTCTCAGCATCAAGTTACCCTTGCCAAAGGTTCTGCACCTTACAAACTGACATCCCTGATGCTGGCCTATGTGTTAGTTTTGGGATCTCACTCAGGTCTTGCTTTGACCACCCACGTGGACATTCCCTTAAATCCATGTTCGGCATCCTTCTCCCCCAGTGCTTACTGATTGCATGGAGAAACATCTCTTTCTTATGTTATTCACTCTGAATATTGTTTTCTTCTTGCCTCTATTATGTAGTTGTCTGGCTGAGTAGTATGTCTGTATCCTAGGAAACTTGTACCTGGGCTAGATGGAACAGCCTCGTTTATTTCTTCAACCTCTGTCTTCACTTTGTTTTGAACTTTATTTCTGATCTATTCCCCTATTTCCAGCATCTCTGGAATCTGCTTTTGTTGCCTAGGCATTTTGCTTGCCTGGTCTCTGTCTACAAACTGAAAATAGCTCTATCTCCTCCCTGTGATACCGTACTCTGATCTTGCCCAGTCCTTGGGTTCTACCTTGACACCAAGCAATATGGTTAATATCCCCATAGGATTTTTCCCAGCCCCAGTATTGGGGAAATGGACAATGGATGTACGGATAATTTGGCCCTTCCATGTCTACCCTTTCCTATTGCAGTTCACTGTCCGTGCCTAATTATGCTCTGAATTATGACAGGGAGTATCTAATTGGCACTCATTCAGTAATATGACATCGCTCCTTAGAATTTTCTATTGCATTCCTTACATGGTAATTTCTATGATTGAATTAGTAATAATATACTTATAATATCTCATTTTTCTATTTCCCACAGAATATATGATAGTATATCCAATTTCAAAATAATCTAAAAATATTTTAGTGTTAGTTTACTAAATATATATATATATATATATATAGAGAGAGAGAGAGAGAGAGAGAGAGAGAGAGAGAGAGAGAGAGAAAGAGAGACAGGGTCCAGGGTCTCACTCTGTCACCCAGGCTGGAGTGCAGTGACATGATCAAGGTTTGCACTACACCTTAAACTACTGGGTTTAAGGGATCCTCCAGGCTCAACCTCCCTAGAGCTGGGACCACAGGTGCATGCCACCATGTCTGGCTTTAAAATTTTTTTTTTTTTTTGTAGAGACAGGGTCTCCCTAGGTTGCTTGGGCTGGTCTTGAACCTCCTGAGTTCAAGCGATCCTCTCACCTCAGCGCCCCAAAGTGCTGGGATTATAGGCATGAGCCACTAATAATATTTGAAACCATATTAGAGCTTCTTTAAAGGCCTAACCCATCTCATGAGATCATATAATGTGATCTAAGATATAAGATCCTACTTAGCAACAGTGTCCAAGACTCATTTTTATACTAAGGCAGTTTCAGAATAACCATCACATTGTAAAAGAATAGTTAAAGCCAAAAAGTCATAGAAGTGACATTGTAAAACAAACAAACAAAAACAAAACCTAACTATGACCTTAGCAATTAGCCATCTTTAGTGGAAACCAGAAGCTATCTTACTTAACTGCTAGGTGGACATAAACTAACCCTTAATCTCTGAGTCTCATGTACCCATACAAAAGAGACGAAAACAGTTATTTGTAGGGTTAGGGTTACATGAGATGATATTGGTCTGGCATTTAGCACTCTTCTCAGTCCATGGTAGTAACCATTACTATGATGAAGATGTGATTGCGGATTTCATTTTCCCGAGACTCAATAACTTCCCATATTCTTTGCCCACAATCCAAAAGCAAGTATAGTCATGCTTTTTTGTTTGTTTTGTTTCATTGCTGATTTTTTTTGGGTCCAAAATAGTGGAAATTCTTGATTCATGCATTTAGGAAGTGTTTTTGAATCATGTGAAACAAAACATCTGAGATAATACAAACATCTTACTATGAATACCTTGGTTTGGGTGCTCTATGGTTTATGGCTGGAAACGTTATTCCCATTCCAACTACTCATTTGTTTCCATTTAAATGTCCAGAAAAGTGGCTCCCTACTTGTGCCCCAGAATAACCTATTGAGGTGTTTTAAAAATACAGAAGCTTGGACTCTACTTCAGAGGTCCTGAATCAGAGTCTTCTCTGATTCAGGTCTGATTCAGGTCAAGTGAAACTTGGACCTCTAGATTCTTTAAACCTTTATGAATAACTCTCGTGTACAACCAGGGATGAGAATCATTGATATGTGACATTTTTTAAGTGTCCTTATAAGCTACCGAGAAATAATTTTGGACAGGACAGTAATATGGTCCTTAACTTAAACAGAGCTTAAAGTAACATTTTCAACTTTAACTCTTAAGCTTGGATAGAAATGAATTATTTAAGGAAATGTCCAATTTTTTAAAATGACCATCTTAGAAACAGTCATGTGGTCCCATACAATTATTTTTCTAATCTATCAAAATGGTTCTATTTTTCAGAATAGTGCTCCCAATTAATACTCCAATCTCCAATTCATGATTAGGCCAAACAAATAACAATTTATATAAATATATTCCCCTTTATGTTACTTTTATCTCTTCTACTGTAATTCTGGCATTCACTGTGAACCTGGGATAATAGTGTCAGTGAAATAACAATGGAGAATTTGAATTCAACTGAAATGGGTGTCAAATTTATCCTATTATCTAAGGTGTGTGCTGGAGCATCACTCTGAATACAGGGCAGACTAAAGTGGCTCCTGTCTCAACTAAAAGCACTGCATTTTAACTCCCAGTTTCTATTCTTACATTATATATAGATTTTATAGCTAATTCTCCAAGCCTTGTTCTCACCTGCACAGAAAATGCTCTTTTCATTAAAATTAAAAGTTACATAAATTCCAACCAATTGCAAAGAATATTTTTATTTTGTGTAGTTTTTTTTAATGACAGTTCCAAGATTTTTTTAAAAAATAAAATGTTTTTACTAGAAATAGTACAAGCACTTCAACTTGAATGCACTTTCATAACTTTGGCTCAGAACTGAATTTTTTTTCCTTGGTAATTTTTACACTGATAGAAATCAGATTACAGGGTACTGATGGACTTCTTTTTCCTGTAATTATAGATAGGAGGGTCGTATACTTAATGTGTTCTAACTATGTAGTTCACAGATGCATTTTCATACTCTCAGTCACTACAGAATTGATTAGTCCCTAAGAAATCTTTTGGGCAAGATTAATAATCTGTTGTGGAGGATGTGGGCATCATATCAGAACTGAGTCACTCAAACACACAGGCCTGCATAGAGACAATAAAAATGATGCAATTTTTATGAAATTCTAATAACTTCAAATGTTATTTCCACCAAGGTACCTTATTTGATTCTTCCCCTAAGATGAGGCAAAAAATGGAACACAAATAATGGAAAAAATAAAGCAAAAAGTTAGAGATTTTCTTTCAAAAAAAGCCCTAGGCATTTTACAGAAAATGAAAATCAACTGAAAAAAAATAGGAAAGCATTTAGAAAGTATATTTAATACTTTTAAAATATTATAAAGTATTGTATATAATAAAGTGACATCATTTTATATGTGTACTAGTATCTCAGAGACTTGTATGATTTCTATTTAACTTAATTGTCTTTCTCATATAGAAATGTAAAAAGTGACAATGTAAAAATGTAAGTAAAGTATAAAAATATTTAAAAGTAACTGTGTATCCTCTTCTGTATGGTAGAAGTTAAATTGTGGCTAGGCTACATAATCTTATATATTGAAAGTTCAAAGTGATTTAAAAAAAACCCAACAACCTTTGGGCTTGCTTTCTTAGTTTCTTTACTCATAGTGTGTGATTAACCAAGCCTTCTGGCCTGCATACAGTGTTGCTGTCTTCATTTACAGTTTATGTACATTTATAGTATATGTATGTGTACTGTATATATGCAGACTATATATATAGAGTATATGTATAGATACATACATATATACACCTATACTGTATATTTATACATATACATACATACATGTATATTCTTGCTCTCAAGTCAAGACCATTTCTGCCACAATTTAAAAAATTTTGGCCAGGCGCGGTGGCTCGTGCCTGTAATCCCAGCACTTTGGGAGGCCGAGGAGGGCAGATCACGAGATCAGGAGATCGAGACCATCCCAGCTAACAAGGTGAAACTCCTTCTCTACTAAAAAATACAAAAAATTAGCTGGGCAAGGTGGTGGGCACCTGCAGTCCCAGCTACTCAGAGGCAGGAGAAAGGCGTGAACTCAGGAGGCGGAGCTTGCAGTGAGCCGAGATCGTGCCACTGCACTCCAGCCTGGGCGACAGAGCAAGACTCTGTCTCAAAAAAAAAAAAAAAAATGATTTTGTGTAAATTTATGGGGTACAAGTACAGTTGTGTTACATGTGTAGATTGTGCATAGCAGTCAAGTCAGGACTTTCAGGGTATCCATCATCTGAATAACATACATTGCACCCATTAAGGAATTTTTCATCATCTAGCCCCTTGCTACCCCCTCATCCTTCCAACTGTCCAGTGTTTATCATTCCACTGTCTATGCCCATGTGTGCACATTATGTAGCTCCCACTTACAAGTCAGAACACCACCATTCTTTTTTTGTGTACTTCAGTTTTTTGTTTATTTCTTTTTGAGCCTAGTAAGACATTCCTTTTGAAAAATGCATCTTGGCATTTGGATTTCTACATAGATGAATACTTATTCTTGAGCACAAAAGAATAAGAAAAGCACCTGACCAATATCTAATATAATTTGAGGAAATTCATATGTAACCCTTTCAAAGACAGGACAGTCACATGGTTCTTTCATGGAGTAATATCCCACTAAGTAGAAGTAATTAAAAATAAACTTCTTTCTTCTCATGATTTTTCACTTCAGCAACATTAATGAGATCCAAACAGCCTGTTGCTGTCCTTATTAATACCTGCTTTCTTTCCTGACCATTTTCTTCATACCTGCCATTGCTCTAACTCATGTCTCCTGATCTCCCACCTCCCCACCCCAGAAATAATACTTCCTTCACAGCCCACTTGTCTTTTCTTTATTCCTTTTTCATTGCCTATCTCAGCTCTTTATTACAAAGATAATTCCTTTTTTTCTCATGTGGATATTTCTTTCTCTCTAGAAGTGAGGAGCAGGGCAGAAAAATCTCTGACCACAAAGGTCTTCCCTTTCGTGGGAGAAGGGTTGGCTACGCACACTCTCATATTAACGTTATTGTGCCATCCCATATTATGTAGTTAAAGACAGTTCAAAAACGCTATTTAAGGCCGGGCACGGTGGCTCATGCCTATAATCCCAGCACTTTGGGAGGCCGAGGAGCACAGATCACTTGAGGCCGGGAGTTCAAGACCAGCCTGGCCAGCATGGTGAAATGCCATCTCTACTAAAAATACAAAAAATAACTAGACATGGTGGTGGGTACCTGTAATCCCAGCTACTGAGGAGGCTGAGGCAAGGGAATGGCTTGAAACCAAGAGATGAACGTTGCAGTGAGCCAAGATCGTGCCACTGCACTCCAGCCTGGGTGACAGAATGAGACTTTGTCGCAAAAAAAAAAAAAAAAAAAAAAGCTATTGAATTGATTTTCTTTAGCCAGTGTCCAATGGAGACAATTTATTATGCAAGTGTGTGTCTATTTGCCCCATAATGACTTATAGAAAATTAACTGTATCCTTATGTATACTTATGAGATTCTCTTTTCAACCTTCTTATAAGCTACCCTCTTGTAATTTCAGTAACAACTTGATTATTTCTTGTTCCTTTCTGTGGAGGAAAGAAACAACTAGAGGTAATACAATGATGATATGAGGGGAAGAAGTATGCCTAGTGATTGCTGAAAGATGAGATTTCTGGCTCATGTGCCAGTAGTAACAACTTAGGGAAAAGGGTGGGATGTGTGCTGTTGTGGTAAAAGTAGAAAAAGGTCTGGTCACTGAATGAACAGTCAGAGCCTAGGAGCAAAAAAGAATATAAGTACCTAGAGATGTAAATTAAAGAAAAGCTGGGCATGAAAATAAAACAAGGAATAGGGCTCAGAATAGGAACTAGGTTGTAACTCCTCAAGTTCTTCTCTTTCTTTTAATTACATCAAACGAGAGGAAAGACTCCCCACCCCCAGCCCCCCATTTTTGGTAATCTAATAGAGATAGGAATTTTTCTCCCCCATCACCTTCACCCTTCTCATGCTCCAAGTAAAGCATTTTGCTTGCAGCCAGAAATGGCAGATCTTAACTAATACAATTTTTAAACAGAAAGACTGGGTTCTGTGTAAGTTCTCCTTTCTGTTAACTTATATGGAAACTTGTTTTCATATGCTCCCAAACTGCACTAAATCAGTTGGCAATACCAAGCACAAGGGATACACTTCATAATCCTTCTAAATGACTGGCAAGAGAACTGTCCTGGAGAAGAATGCCCCTGCTAGCTCCTCCTTCCCTCTATCTCACTTCTATCATATTATCCATAGATTAGAGTGGCGAAGAGCAGAACACATCTCTGGTGAAAACTCTCATCAGACAAAGAAACATGATAAAACCCAGTAAACAGGGATTTCCACATCAGTTTCTATCAGGAAAAAACAAATAAATGGCTCACCTTTATATACAATGGCTCCCTAAGATGATCAACCAGAATACAAGCTTTTTCTTCCCACACAGGGTTGAGGTTCTTGTGTATTATCTTACTTCTAAAAACTTCTTTTCCTCCGATTTTAAACTTCACATATGGATCACTCGTCCCTGTTAAATAGATAGATTGATCCATGTTAATCATGACTTGGTTTGGAAGCAAGAGAACCACTCTTTTGAAACAACAAAAAGTATTTAAAGGAAGAAAAGTTAAATGAAAATTATCTATGCAGAAATAAGAGTTAAGTGTTTTCTTATGAATTTTTTATTATATATTGAAGTGATAAATAATAATAATTATTATTACTTCATCTTCTGATCTTAATCGTGTAACCTTGTCCTGGCAGTTAAAAACAGTCTATTCCAGCAATCCCGCTAGTGGACATCTACCCAAAGGAAAAGAAATCATTTTATCAAAAAGATACCTGACTCAAATGTTTATCACAGCACTTTTCACAATAGCAAAGACATGGAATCAACAGACTATTGGGCTAAAATGTGATATATATATATATCAAATGCCATGATATATATATTCCATGGCATATATATACATATATATATACAAATATATATATACATATATATATATACACAACTATATATATGCATATATATACAAATATATATGCATATATATACAAATATATATATGCATATATATACAAATATAATATATGCATATATATACAAATATATATGCATATATATACAAATATATATATGCATATATATACAAATATATATATGCATATATATACAAATATATATGCATATATATACAAATATATATATGCATATATATACAAATATATATGCATATATATACAAATATATATGTGCATATATATACATATATATGAATATATATACAAATATATATATGCATATATATACATATATATATGCATATATATACATATATATATATGCATATATATATATATATATATATGCCATGGAATACTACTCAGCCATAAGAAACAGATCATGTCTTTAGCAGCAACATGGATGGAACAGGAGGCCATTACTCTAAGTGAAATGACTCAGAGAAAGTAAGTAAAAAACTACATGTTCTCTTTTACAAGTGGGAGCTAAACAATTGGTACACATGAAGACAAAGAATGGAAAAATAGACACTGGAGATTCCAAAAGGTAGGAGGATGGGAGAGGGGTGAAGAATGAAATACCATCTATTTGGTACAATGTATACGACTTGGGTGATGGGTATTCTAAAAGCCCAGACTTTACCACTATGCAATACATCCATGTAACACAACTGCACTTGTATCCCTAAATCTATTTTTTAAAACCACACTCTATTGCATGTTGAATGTGTAAATTTAATTAAAGTTATAAATCATAGAGATTAATCTGATCTTCCTCTTGATATCATCTGGTCAACTATAAAAAGATGTTGAATAATCTTCACTGATTTAAATAGTTTTAACAGCATATATACGCTGCTAAAATTTTATACTAGTCTAATGGGCTTAGGAAAAGATGCGTGTTAAAGTGGGCTTCATTTCATCCTTGGTCCCATATTTTTTCTTGCTCAGAAGTTTCAATTTTAGAATGTTAGGAAGGGGTGGAGGTCTCAGAGAAAGACATCAGGAGAAAGGGGAACACATGTTTAATAAGTGAATTGGATTCTTTGTATTATCCCTTGACACCTCCTAAACTCCCTATGATGATAAAGAAAATCAAAGTTGATTCCCAGGCAAGATGGCCAAATAGGAACAGCTCCAGTCTGCAGCTTCCAGTGAGACCAATGCAGAAGGCGGGTGATTTCTGCATTTCCAACTGAGGTACCTGGTACATCTCAGTGGGACTGGTTGGACAGTGGGTGCAGCCCACAGAGGGTGAGCAGAAGCAGGGTGGGGCATCACTGCCTCACCCAGGAAGTGCAAGGGTTCGGGGAACTCCTTCCCCTACCCAAGGAAAGCTGTGAGGGACCATGCCGTGAGGGACAGTGCTCTCTGGCCCAGATACTATGCTTTTCCCATGGTCTTCACAACCCACAGACCAGGAAATTCCCTTGGGTGCCTATGTCACAAGGCCTCTGGTTTCAAGCACAAAACTGGGCAGTCATTTGGGCAGACACTGAGCTAGCTGTAGGAGTCTTTTTTCGTACCCCAGTGGTACCTGGAATGCCAGTGAAACAGAACTGTTCACTCCCCTGGTAAGGGGGCTAAAGCCAGGTTGCCGAGTGGTCTTGCTCAGTGGATCCTACCCCCATGGAGCCCAGAAAGCTAAGATCCACTGGCTTGAAATTCTCATTGCTAGCATAGCAGTCTGAAGTCGACCTGGGAGGCTTGAGCTTGGTAGGGAGAGGGGCGTCTGCCATTACTGAGGCTTGAGTAGGCAGTTTTCCCCTCACAGTATAAACAAAGCTGCAGAAAGTTCAGACAGGGCAGAGCCTACTGCAGCTCAGCAAAGCCACTGTAGCCAGACTGCCTCTCTACATTCCTCCTCTCTGGGCAGAGCATCTCTGGAAGAAAGGCAGCAGCCACAATCAGGAGTTTATAGATAAAACTCCCTTCTCCCTGGGACAGAGCACCTGGGGGAAGGGGTAGCTGTGGGTACAGCATCAGCAGACTTAAAAGTTCCTGCCTGCCAGCTCTGAAGAGAGCAGCAGATCTCCCAGCACAGACCTTAAGCTCTGCTAAGGGACAGTATGCCTCCTCAAGTGGGTCCCTGACTCCCATGCTTCCTGACAGGGAGACACCTCCCAGCAGGGGTCGACAGACACCTCACACAGGAGAGTTCTGGCTGGTATCTGGTGGGTGCCCCTCTGGGATGAAGCTTCCAGAGGAAGGAGCAGGCAGCAATCTTTGCTGTTCTGCAGCCTCTGCTGGTGATACCCAGGCAAACAGTCTGGAGTTGACCCCAGCAAATTCCAGTTGAACTGCAGAAGAGGGACCTGACTGTTAGAAGAAAACTAACAAACAGAAAGGAATAGCCATCAACATCAACAAAAAGGATGACCGTGGAAAACTCCATCCAAAGGTCACCAACAGCAAAGACCAAAGGTAGATGAATCCACAAAGATGAGGAAAAAAACAGCGCAAAAAGGCTGAAAATTCCAAAAACCAGAATGCCTCTTCTCCTCCAAAGGATCACAACTCCTTGCCAGCAAGGGAACAAAACTGGATGGTGAATGAGTTTGATGAATTGACAGAAGTAGGCTTCAGAAGGTAGATAATAACAAACTTCTCAGAGCTAAAGGAGCATGTGGTAACCCAATGCAAGGAGGCTAAAAGCCTTTATAAAAGGTTAGAGGAACTACTAAATAGAATAACCAGTTCAGAGAAGAACATAAATGACCTGATGGAGCTGAAAAACACAGCATGAGAACTTCGTGAAGCATACACAAATATCAATAGCCAAACTGATCAAGTGGAAGAAAGGATATCAGAGATTGAAGATCAACTTAATGAAATAAAGTGTAAAGACAAGATTACAAAAAAAAAGAATGAAAAGGAATGAACAAAGCCTCCAAGAAATATGGGACTCTGTAAAGAGACCAAACCTACGTTTGATTGGTGTACCTGAAAGTGAAGGGGAGAATGGAACCAAGTTGAAAAATACACTTCAGGATATCCAGGAGAACTTCCCCAACCTAGCAAGACAGGCCAACATTCAAATTCAGGAAATACAGAAAACACCACAAAGATACTCCTCAAGAAGAGCCATCCCAAGACACATAATCGTCAGATTCACCAAGGTTGAAATGAAAGATGAAATGTTAAGGGCAGCCAGAGAGAAAGGTCTGGCTACCCACAAAGGGAAGCCCATCAGACTAACAGCAGATCTCTCTGCAGAAATTCTACAAGCCAGAAGAGACTGGGGGCCAATATTCAACATTCTTAAAGAAAGGAATTTCCAACTCAGAATTTCATATCCAGCCAAATTAAGCTTCATAAGTGAAGGAGAAATAAAATCCTTTACAGACAAGCAAATGCTGAGAGATTTTGTCACCACCAAGCCTGCCTTACAAGAGCTCCTGAAAGAAGTGCTAAATATGGAAAGGAAAAACTGGTACCAGCCTCCACAAAAACAAACCGAGATGTAAAGACCATTGACAATATGAAGAAACTGCATCAACTAATGGGCGAAATAACCAGCTAGCATCAAAATGACAGGATCAAATTCACACATAATAATATTTACCTTAAATGTAAATGGGCTAAATGCCCCAATTAAAAGGCACAGACTAGTAAATTGGATAAAGAGTCAAGACCCAATGGTGTATTCAGGAGACCCATCTCACGTGCAAAGACATGCACAGGCTCAAAACAAAGGGATGGAGGAAGATTTACCAAGAAAATGGAAAGAAAAAAAAGAAAAAGCAGGGGTTGCAATCCTAGCCCCTGATAAAACAGATTTTACACCAATGAAGATTAAAAAAAAAGAGAAAGAAGGGAATTACCTAATGGCAAAGGGATCAATGCAACAAGAAGAGCTAACTATCCTCAATATATATGCACCCAATACAAGAGCACCCAGATTCATAAAGTAAGTTCTTAGAGACCTACAAAGAGACTTAGACTCCCACACAATAATAGTGGGAGACTTTAACACCCCACTGTCTATATTAGACAGATCAACAAGACAGAAAATTAACAAGGATATTCAGGACTTGAACTCAGCTCTGGACTAAGTGGACCTAATAGACATCTACAGAATTCTCCACCCCAGATCAATAGAATATACATTCTTCTCAGCACCACATTACACTTATTCTAAAATCGACCACATAATTGGAAGTAAAACTGCTCAGCTAATGCAAAAGAACAGAAATTATAACAAACAGTCTCTCAGACCACAGTGCAATCAAATTAGAACTCAGGATTAAGAAACTCACTCAAAACTGCACAACTACATGAAAACTGAACAACCTGCTCCTGAATGACAAATGAGTAAATAACAAAATTAGGGCAGAAATAAATAAGTTCTTTGAAACCAATGAGAACAAAGACACAACATACCAGAACCTTTGGGACACAGCTAAAGCAGTGTGTAGAGGGAAATTTATAGT